>NC_000012.12:73823764-73975279 GCF_000001405.40 Homo sapiens | reverse complement strand
AGAGATCAAATCATGTTAAAACACGATAATATCTTAAATAATACCTAATACAGATATCTTAAATAAACAATACAATATGAAATCATATTTTATGGTTATTTAAATAGTGAGATATCCTGACCAAGAAATATTTGCTTAGTTAGTGGAAGATGTTTAAATGTTACAAATTTTATCAATACATTCACTTCATTATCAATTTTAAGGAAAGGTGCCCAGATTTTTAAAATGTAGGAGTAACTCCTATTGAGCCAATCCTCCCTCAGATAGTAACCAAAACCTCTGGACAAAGAATAAATAACAAGTACTAGAAGGCATTGGCAAACACTTAAAGGTAAGCAGACACTCCATGTCAGTCTACAGTGCAATAAAGGAACGGTGAAGGTGAATATCCTAACTTTTTCAAAAATTTTCCAGAGTAAGCTCAGTCTTACTGGCTTAAAGGATGAGTGGACAGACATTGGGGTAAAACCACAGTTGAAAAGCAAAACAAAACAACAACAAAAAACCTATATAAAGAGAGAGCCATAATTTGGAGCCCAATATTTTATAAAAAATCTCTGTCCACATCCCTGATCGACTCCTAAGCTATATTTGTGCAAGGAAGACTTCAAGAAGCCTAGCTAGGCTAGGCACGGTGGCTCATGCCTGTAAATCCCAGCACTTTGGGAGGCCGAAGCAGCTGGATCACCTGAGGTCAGGAGTTGGAGGCCAGCTTGGTCAGAAACCTCGTCTCTACTAAAAATACAAAAACTAACTGGGTATGGTGGCAGGCGCCTGTCAGCTACTGGGGAGGCTGAGGCAAGAGAATCACTTGAACCCGGGAGGCAGATGTTGCAGTGAGCCAAGATCGCACCACTGCACTGCCTGGGCGACAAGAGTGAAACTCTGTCTCAAAAAAAAAAAAAAAAAAAAAAAAAGCCTAGCTAAACGCAACAGAAATAAACAGAGAAATTCTTTTGCTGCCTTGAAAACACCAAGTTTGGAGTTTGACTTCTGCCAATTTAGTTTTCTTTAAAAAAAAAAAAAACGTTTTTTAGATAAACAGAATTACAGCCGATACTATGTTCATTTACAATATCTAGGACACATTCTAGAATTATTAGATGTAGGAAGAAATAGGAAAATGTAACCAAGAGAATGGTAAGCAGCAGTGGACAAAACAGTCCAAATCAGTAAAATGCTGAAATCAGAGGTGTGATTTCTTGCCTGTTTTCACAGTGGTTATGCAGTTATTATTTTCTTCAGGTGAAATGATGGAGTTTCTACCCGCAAGAGACCTGCATATCCCAAGTGTAGAGTGCTGGGAAGGCCCTCTTAACCCATGGTGGACTGATGGAGTACAGTTTTCTCAACTTAACAGGGACAGGATGAAATCAGTTTCTGTAAAAATATGAGTCTAAGGTTAGAGCCACAGATCAGAAATGAACTTAACTGGACATTAGGGGGAATAGGCTTAAGAGAGGCAAAAAGTCTAGTTCAGGATATGGCTAAAAAAGGATGAGAATGAAGTTCCCAATACTATTGTCAAAAATATAACCAGGAAAACTGTAACTGGGATGAAGGACTCTTTGGAGATTGTACAGGATTGCTAGCTCAGCTTTTTCTAACAAGAATGGGGCACAGCCCTGAAGTTCTGAGGAGCACAATGAGGCCTAGCAATGACAAGCTGCAATTTGTTACGGCTTCAATCAGCTGGCAGCTGAATTGAAAAGCCTGTTAGTGTTCAACAACAGGCCATGTTGATATACAATTTTCAGTCACAACTAACATTAAAATCCTCTTGCTCAGATAACCAGGGAGAAACAGCTTATGTCTAATTACTTGTTATTTGTAGCTATTAAATATTTATAGCCATAGTATCATGAATCTTTAAAGATAGAAGAAAACTCAGAGATCATTAAGAATTTTGCTGTAAAATACCATAGACATCAGCCACATTGGCTATTGAGCACTTGAATTGTGGCCACCTTAAATTGAAATGTATTGTACTTATAAAATATACATCAAATTTCTTAGACTTAATACAAAAATAACAAAAAGAATATAAAATATCTTATTTTTTTCAAAAATTGATTACATGTTGAAATTATAATATTAGATTTACTGAGTTAAATAAAATATATCAATATAATTAATGTCACTTTTTTCTTTCTAAAAGGCAGCTTTTGGAAAATTTAATATTATGTGTGTGGCTGACATTGGTGACCCACATTATATTTCTATTAGAGTTAATATACACCAGGATTAGCAAACTTTTTAAAATAGCCAAATAGTAAATATTTTAGGGTTTGAGTGGAAAGTGCTAAATTCACTTCATTTCTCTTTTTTATTATTATACTCTAAGTTTTGCGATACATGTGCAGAACGTTCAGGTTTGTTACATAGGTATACATGTGCCATAGTGGTTTGCTGGACCCATCAACCTGCCATCTACCTTAGGTATTTCTACTAATGCTATCCCTCCCATAGCCCTCCACCCCCTGACTGGCTTCAGTGTGTGATGTTCCTCTCCCTGTGTCCATGTGTTCTCGTTCAACTCCCACTTATGAGTGAGTACGTGCAGTGTTTGGTTTTCTGTTCCTGTATTAGTTTGTTGAGAATTATGGTTCCCAGCATCAACCATGTCCCTGCAAAGGACATGAACCAATCCTTTTTCATGGATGCATAGTATTCTGAGGTATATATGTGTCACATTTTCTTTATCCAGTCTATCATTGATGGGCATTTGGATTGGCTCCAAGTCTTTGCTATTGTGATTAGCACTGCAATAAACATACATGTGCATGTGTCTTTATAGTAGAATGATTTATAATCC
Organism: Homo sapiens; assembly: GCF_000001405.40. Taxonomy (NCBI): domain Eukaryota; kingdom Metazoa; phylum Chordata; class Mammalia; order Primates; family Hominidae; genus Homo; species Homo sapiens. The sequence continues at coordinate 73,972,464 of NC_000012.12, read as the reverse complement.
TTTGGGTATATACCCAGTAATGGGATTGCTGGGTCACGGTATTTCTGGTTCTAGATCCTTGAGGAATCGCCACAGTGTCTTCTACAATGGTTGAACTAATTTACACTCCCAACAACGGTGTAAAAGCATTCCTATTTCTCCACATCCTCTCCAGCATCTGTTGTTTCCTGACTTTTTAATGATCACCATTCTAACTGGCATGAGATGGTATCTCATTGTGGTTTTGATGTGCATATCTCTAATGACCAGTGATGATGAGCTTTTTTTCATATGTTTGTTGGCTGAATAAATGTCTTCTTTTAAAAAGTGTCTGTTCATACCTTTTGCCCACTTTTTGATGCTTTTTGTTGTTGTTGTTCTTTTCTTGTAAATTTAAGTTCCTTCTAGATTCTGGATACTAGCCCTTTGTTAGATGGATAGATTGCAAAAATTTTCTCCCATTCTGTAGGTTGCCTGTTCACTCGGATGATAGTTTCTTTTGCTGTGTAGAAGCTCTTTAGTTCAATTAGATCCCATTTCTCAATTTGGGCTTTTGTTGCCATTGATTTTGGTGTTTTGGTCATAAAGTCTTTTCCCACACATATGTGCTGAATGGTATTGCCTAGGTTTTCTCCTAGGGTTTTTATGGTTTTAAGTCTTACATTTAAATCTTTAATCCATCTTGAGTTAATTTTTTTTATAAGCTGTAAGGAAGGAGTCCAGTTTTATTTTTCTGCATATGGCTAGCCAGTTTTCCCAATACCATTTATTAAATAGGGAATCCTTTTCCCATTGGTTGTTTTTGTCAGTTTTGTCAAAGATCAGATGGTTGTAGATGTGTGGGGTTATTTCTGAGGCCTCTGTTCTGTTCCATTGGTCTATATTTCTGTTTTGGTACCAGTATCATGCTGTTTTGGTTACTGTAGCCTTGTAGTATAGTTTGAAGTCAGGTAGCATGATGCCTCCAGCTTTGTTCCTTTTGCTTAGGATTGTCTTGGCTATATGGGCTCTTTTTTGGTTCCATATGAAATTTAAAGTAGCTTTTTATAATCCTGTGAAGAAAGTCAATGGTAGCTTGATGGAGATAGCATTGAATCTATAAATTACTTTGGTCAGTATGACCATTTTCACAATATTGATTCTTCCTATCCATGAGCATGGAATGTTTTTCCATTTGTTTGTGTTTTCTCTTATTTCCTTGAGCAGTGGTTTGTAGTTTTCCTTGAAGAAGTCCTTCACATCCCTTGTAACTTGCATTCCTAGGTATTTTATTCTCTTTGTAGCAATTGTGAATTGGAGTTCACTCATGATTTAGCTCTTTGTTTATTATTGGTGTATAGGAATGCTTGTGATTTTTGCACATTGATTTTGTATCCTGAGACTTTGCTGAAGTTGCTTATCAGCTTAAGGAAATTTGGGGCTGAGACAATGAGATGTTCTGCATATACAATCGTGTCATCTGCAAACAGAGACATTTTGACTTCCTCTCTTCCTATTTGAATACCCTTTATTTCTTTCTCTTGCCTGATTGCCCTGGCCAGAACTTCCAATACTATGTTAAATAGGAGTGGTGAGACAAGGCATCCTTGTCTTGTGCCAGTTTTCAAAGGGAATTCTTCCAGCTTTTGCCCATACAGTGTGATATTGGCTGTGGGTTTGTCATAAATAGTTTTTATTATTTTGAGATAGGTTCTTCTATCAATACCTAGTTTATTGAGAGTTTTTAGCATGGTGTTGAATTTTGTCGAAGGCCTTTTCCGCGTCTATTGAGATAATCATGTGGTTTTTGTCTTTGGTTCTGTTTATGTGATGGATTACATTTATTGATTTGTGTATGTTGAAGCAGCCTTCCATCCCAGGGATGAAGCTGACTTGAGAAACAAGAGCAAACACATTCAAAAGCTAGCAGAAGACAAGAAATAACTAAGATCAGGGCAGAACTGAAGGAGATAGAGACACGGAAAACCCTTCAAAAAAATCAGTGAACACAGGAGCTGTTTTTTTTAAAAAAAAGATTAACAAAATAGACCGCTAGCCAGACTAATAAAGAAGTAAAGAGAGAAGAATCAAATAGACACAATAAAAAATGATAAAAGGAATATCACCACTGATCCCACAGAAATACAAACTACCATCAGAGAATACTATAAACTCCTCTATACAAATAAACTAGAAAATCTGGAAGAAATGGATAAATTCCTGGACACATACACCCTCCCATGACTAAACCAGGAAGAAGATGAATCCCTGAATAGACCAATAAAAAGTTCTGAAATTGAGGCAGTAATTAATAGCCTACCAATCAAAAAAAAGCTGAGGACCAGACAGATTTACAGCTGAATTCTACCAGAGGTACAAAGAGGAGCTGGTACCATTCTGAAACTATTCCAAACAATAGAAAAAGAGGGACTCCTCCCTCACTCATTTTATGAGGCCAGCATCATCCTTATACCAAAACCTGGCAGAGACACAACAAAAAAAGAAAAATTCAGGCCAATATCCCTGATGAACATCGCTGCGAAAATCCTCAATAAAATACTGGCAAACAAAATCCAGCAGCACATCAAAAAGCTTATCCACCACTATTAAATTTACTTCATTTCTATAGCATTTTTTTCTTTCTCCCCTCACCCACTTTCCCTCTTCTTCCTCCTTCTTACTTTTCACTTAAAAAACATTAAAAGCATCGTTAGCTTGAGAACTATTAAAAAAAGTAGGCCGTTGGATATAGTTGGCCCAAGAACCTTAGTTTTCTGAGTCCTAACTTAGATCAACCTATATTATATTGATAAGTAAACCAACCTCAGAACGTTATGTTACTTACTCTTAACCAAACACCTGGAAGCCAATCTTCAATCTCCAGGGTTAATGTTTCTAGTATACTATAAAATATTTATGGTTAAGTATTATGAATATTTTTGGTGTTTATTGAGATTTACTTTCCTGAAATGCTTCATATACTCTTTATAGAATTACTTTCAGCATAGGCATATTCTAGTTAATTGTTGAACACATTACCAACCTACTTTTCATCAGTGATTTGCCAAATGATTTTAATGTCGTTTAATTTGACCACAAGAGAATGTTGCCTTCTTAAATATCTGACATTGTGCAATTCATTTATTTTTTCTTTGCTAAGTTGATTCTTCTCAGAGTTGTTGCCACTAAGCCAAGCTTCATCTACTAAGCTTTTCATCCTTATTCTTTATCAAACTGTTTGATTTATCTTTCTCAATCACTGCTAGCATTTAGAGATTATTCCCAGCAGGCTCAGGTTAATGTAGTTAGCCTGGACTGCACAATCTCATATGCCAGTAGTATTTCAATTTTACAAACCAGAATAGTTGGTGTCACCTGCAGACTCAAGCACTAAATTGTCAGTGTAAAACTCTTTATAATTTCCTCTTCTTGAAGCACAAGCAACATTTGAAATGGTGGTTTCTTCCTGGGTTTCTTAGCAATCATAATGTGCCTTGCCTCAAACTATCCTGTGATGGACATGTAGTATAAATAAGAAATAAACCTCAGCTCTTGTAAACCAATGACATTTGTAGGCTTTTTGTTATTTCAGCATAACCTATTTCTTCTGACTGATACCTTTGATCCACAGACAGGAAACCCTGGTGCAGTAAAAAGTGAAGGAGATATTGTAGAGTTTGTCATAAAACTGATGAGTGTAGTCTTTTCTTCTTATCTTGCTCCAATTTTATTGGTCATTGTACTATTTTAGAGGATAATTATGGAGTATAAAATAAATCATACATTTGGTAATATAGTAAGTGAAAGTGGTTAAAATTTGAAAGCTGAGACTTAGGCAGAGGAATCCAGAAATTAAGGTATTAGCAAAGAGACTTCTGTTTCTCAAAGTAGAGTATATTTTTGGGTAATATTGATGGGTAATATTGAGACTTGATTAGTAAAATGGCAATATTGCTAATTTCTCTGCTTAATGTTATATAACAAACCCAACAATTTATCTACACTCACTTCTCTCCCTCTCTCTATGTGTATATTTTATATATTTTTTCTTTTAAATATTTTCTTATATTATCTCTATTTTCATAATGATTCTTTCAGCATGGGCTTTATTATTTATTATGTATTGTAAGAACTTCCTAACTCATGCTTCTGGATATATTCAAACTCTTTACTGATCTATTTTCTATATGAATCCCAGAGTAATCTTTTAAAATTATAAATTTACCATATCATTTTCTGAATTAAAATGTTTGGAAACATTTTCTTTGCCATGGGGCAAATAAATCTTTTCATCATTGAATAAAAGGCTTAATAATCACTGCTTCTCAATGCCCTCACTCCATACTGAATTGTTTGCAATTCCATGTATCCTGCCCTTTCTCCATATGTCCTGGCATACAAGGCAGGAAAGGGGTCTTAGGAAATCAAGTCAAATCAATGTGGTCTTAGCAAATTGTATCAAACTGAATAAAGGCAAACAGATGAGCATAACTCCTGAAAAAACAATCCCAATAAGAATATTACATAATATATAGGCTAAGTAGACAGAACATATAAATTATAATCTTTGATGTTATAAGTCACCATACACAAGATTTTTCTCTAGCCACAGTTATTATTTTCTTTAACTAGTTCTTATATTTATCATGATTGATTGCAGGAAGACGATCAGTTTCTGATCTAAAAAGGGTGATACACAGATTTAGTTGGACGTTAAATATTCTTTGAATTTCCCTATTTCTGGACTTTTCTTTGAGACTAATGGCTTTGTTACCTTTCACTTTATTTTGCTAACAAATAGTGTTTTCTTAACATTTTCATAACTTTTTATTTTCTTTGATTTTAATGCTCATCTGAACCAATTCAAACTTTAATTTTTAAAATTGCTATTCCTAATGTAGTTATATTTTGTCTTCAATTTTGCTAATCTTTATAATATACAAATTTGTAATTGAATACACTATTATGTCACCTAATTATTCTGCTCACTTGTACCAAAATTATTAAGATAATTGTAAATTGTTCATATATTTTAAAATTATTAATCCTCTTCTTAAAATTATTGTGCTTCATTATCACTTTGATTTGTACCATGCTTTGCTTAATTTTACTCACCACCATAATATAAAATCATAATGCTTTTAGAAATTATACTTTATATTTGTTAATTTATTTGGATGATTACTGTATACTACCTCATACTATGTTTTGGGTGGCCATTTATAGCTATTTTTAAATCTAGAAATATTATGACATTTGTGACTGAAGCCCTTCTGCCTGCAACAAACTCGATTGTGAGCTTCATAAAGTTAGCAAACTAGCAATTTTCTATTTTGTATCACACCATATATAGCACATTCCCCTTGCCTAGAGATCAAAGAGAATTTTTAGATTATTTTTTCAACTAAACTTATTAACTATTTATATATTAACATAGTTTTTAATACATGTATTTTCCACTTACGGAATCTGTAAAAGTTTCATTTAGAGAAAAAACATTTTCTTTAAAATAAATGTTCTGAGATATTGTATTTGAGTTCCAAACTGTATAATCAATACAGGTGAAAAGAAGCATTAAAACTTTGCCCAAATCTGGGGCCGGGCACGGTGGCTCATGCCTGTAATCCCAGCACTTTGGGAGGCCGAGGCGGGCGGATCACAAGGTCAGGAGATCCAGACCATCCTGGCTAACACGGTGAAACCCCGTCTCTACTGAAAATACAAAAAATTATCCAGGCGTGGTGGCAGGCACTTGTAGCCCCAGCTACTCGGGAGGCTGAGGCAGTAGAATGGTGTGAACCCGGGAGGCGGAGCTTGCAGTGAGCCGAGATCACGCTACCTGCACTCCAGCCTGGGCGACAGAGCGAGACTCCGTCTCAAAAAATAAACAAACGAACAAAAAAAACTTTGCCCAAATCTAATGTAGTCTATAAGTGTCATTACATACTTTAGGCAGAAGTATATCATTAAAGAATCATGCCACTTAGTTAAATATATATTTACAGAATATATAAATGGTGTAAGACATTTGACTTCTATTTTATTGAAAGATGTTAGTTGTAGCCCACTGAATTAATTTCATGACCTACCAGTTAGGTCAAAGCCAACTATATGAAACACATTTGTAATACACAAAAGCTTATGGAGGATGGATATACCCAGAAAAGATGAGGATTCTTCAAATCTTGGGCAAAAGGTGCAGAGAAATAGTGGAAAAATGCAATAAGAAATTAGTTAGGAAATGAGATCTGCAGCTGAATGTGGAAGCTTTGTTTTGGAATTTGTATTTTTTGGCTTATATACTACTATAAGGCATTGTATGTTTTTTAGATGATAAAGTAAACTGATAACATGTTTGTTTTAGATATTTACCATTGTCAGCAGTGGTAGGGATGAATTGGAGCCTGGACACGCTAGAGACAGAGAAAAGAAAATCATACTGGAATAATGAAAGGTAAAGGTTAATAAGGATCCAAATGGTAAAGGCACAGTGAAAATTACTGAAAGACAAAAGACATTCAAAATATGGGATAAGTAAAATTCACTAATTGATAGAATGTGTTGGGTAAAGGATAGGGAAAAGACATCTATGATTCTTTGGGTTTTAAGACTTAGAAAATTACTATGTGGTTTTAACATTATCTAAACTTTGCCATAGCAGAAAGTAGGATTCTGAGAGAAGGGTAAACTCACTTTTGTTAGCATTGAATTGGAGCAGTAATCTCTGTGACTTGACAAAGTGTATCTGGCTTTATGCTTTCATAATACTCTTTAATATTAGAAAAATGGTCACTTTTAATAAATGTGCAGAGAAAAGCAATAGAAAAATATATTTCACTCAACCTGCTAGAAAAACTATTGAAATTGCAATGGAGACATGCAAATTTGAGAGTAATTATTGATTGTCATTTTAATTTTAATTATTATTGGAGGTAATATAAATGATTATAATCTTTTTAATTAGAAATTTGGCAACCTGTTTCAAGAACCAGTAAACCAATAAAACTATGTATGTGAAGACTCCTCCCAAAAACTGTAAACACAAACAAAATTTTGTAAACATACATAAAATTCTAATCAATTAGTATTTTTATTTTTTCTTCAAATAGAATGTTCAATTCTTTCCAAACATACACACAAAATATTTTTAACTTCAATTATGCTTATAGTTAAATCTAAATAACAGCTTAATGTGGCTTTGAAATGTAATGAAGTATTTAAGAGAATTACAAGTAAAGGACATAATGAATAAAAAAATCAGAAAATAAATTAAAATTTATTTCTAAAAAGCTTGGTACATAAACAAAAATCAAATAATAGAAGAGTTAGTGATAGCATTTTTGAAAATCTGAAACTAACATTGAAAATAAAATCAACAAAAATGGATAGGAAAGGTTTAGTAAGTAAGCAGTAAATGTTTCCTAAAATCTCTTCTCATATGTCTCACCTTGCTCCAGCTGCTTGCTTTTACTGTGACATCTCCTTCTCTGAATTTCCAACTTTACCGCCTCCTTTTATAAGGACCTTTATGATTACATTAGTAGACCTAAATAAATAAACTAGGAGCATCTGCTCCTAGAATCTTTAATTCAATCACATCTGCAAACTCTAAAGGACATGAACGTTTTTGGAGCAGCCATCATTCAGCCTACCACAAAGTCTATAGAGGGTACTGTTTGGTACAATACCTAATTACGGAAATTGCAGGTGGGGTAGCAGAACAGGAAGGTTTGATTAGAGCTAGTGCTGATATGCAATAAACAGAGGATACTGCTCTGTGTTTCAAGATAATGTCCCAAGAAAAGTGGTTATGTGGCTTGGATTCAGATCTCCAATAAAGGAGATAAAGCCTTCAAATACCCCTTATGAATATAATATGATTGAATATGGAAACATGAAACAAACAGGGGCAAGACACACCATTATAGATATCTGATGGTGGAGAGGGGCGGTGGTTCAGAATTAGAGCAGGGATGGGAAGTGGAAAAGGCTACGACTCTCCCAATTTTTATGCATGAACTAGATTCCCTGGCAAGGGTCATTATCACTGCTTAAAATCTCCCTCTTATACAAAAACTGTCTAGTGGAAATCAAGTAAAGGTAGTTTTTGCTTTGTTTATTCTGATTTATTATTAATAAAGCATCTTAACAGGTAGAATATGATTTGATGTTACTGATTTAAAATTTGTAGGTGTGTCTTCTGCTGTGCCTCTTTTTAAAGAGCCTGGGGATTGAGATTATTTAAATCCGCATGTGAAAGTTAGAAAAGAAACTGGAAATCAGAGGTGGAGATAATTAAGGCTTTCTAATATAATGGTATTCAGCTCTTTAAAAACAGGTTCTTTGGATATGTCTTCTAAGCAAAATAGACATCATTGTTCTCATCATCAGTATTTAACAATAACAACATTAAGGCAATTTTGAAAAATGAACACTACAACTGATGATTATTTCAATATTGCCATTTCAGATAGGCAGTAATTCTGTTAAGAAAATCTATTTGGAAAATCATTTGAGGCTAGAAATTTTTGGTGGGGTTGGAATTTTTTTTCTAGACAATATCGTTATCTGATAATAAAATAAACATTTCTAATAATGACTATCAAATTAATTTCTATACTTAAAAATAATGTTCTAAATAATTTAATTAACATATTTTAAATAATTTTTCGTTGCGAAGACAAAGAAATTAATATAAGCATGCACATTAAAAATAAACATATTTCTGGCCGGGTGCGGTGTCTCACGCTTGTAACCCTACCACTTTGGGAGGCCGAGGTGGGCGGATCACCTGAGGTCAGGATTTAAAGACCAGCCTGGCCAACATGGCGAAACCCCCGTCTCTACTGAAAATACAAAAATTAGCCGGGCGTGGTAGTGCATGCCTGTAAACCCTGCTACTCGAGAGGCTGAGGCAGGAGAATCACTTGAACTCAGTAGGCGGAGGTTTCAGCGAGCCGAGATCGTGCCACTGCACTCCAGCCTGGGCAACAAAGCGAGACTCCGTCTCAAAAAAAAAAAAAAAAAAAAAAAAAGACATATTCCTTAACATCTACTACATCTAAACTGATATTTTCTTCAATGTATCCTGATAAGTCTTTGAAAACAGACACTCTTGTATCCCGACCCCTGCAGAAATGCTAGCGTTGGTAAACATGTAAGTATCAGCTTGGTGAAAATTATTTAAATGTGCTATACTCCTATGCATTTATAGGGCTTTTTCTTGTTATATGTTACTGCAAAGGACTGATGTTGCCTATCCTAGAATTAATGAGACAAAGAACTCAGGTATTTGAAAACTTTCTCATTAGTCAAACGTATTCATTTTACCATGTTTAAAGTGTGGAAAAGATAAGCAACTCTCAGGAAATGGTTTTTGGTAAATTTTTATATAGAAATGAGGTGTGGCCTTGCATCAGCCCCTGTGAAAAATTGCATAATATTTTTTCACAGTTGATCATCCAGAAAATCATCTGCAAGAGGAAGTTTGTATCTGCAATACAAAATACATACATTAACGCAAAATACATTTGCGTTAATGTATCTATGTTATTTTAGCTTATTATTTATTATTTTAAATTTTTAAAATTAAAGTTAGAATTTCAAAGGTTTATTACATATATTTTTAAATTAAAACCCCACATTTTTAGTAAAATATTTTAACTTGCTGACTCTTCCTTTTAATTTTTCTTGCTTTGCTTGCTTTCCAGGAAAGAAGAGTGAAAGGGAGTCTAAATTTGACATAAAATATCACATAAAAGTTAAAGAATTCAAAAATAATGAGACAACTTTTTTTCTAATCTCATATTTATTTTAAGGTCAGGTATCATTTGGAACAGAAAATAATACTTATTTGTCTTATGGGATTCACTGGTTAACAAAATCCATTATTTTAGATAAGATTCTAAGTTAATATTCAAGATTGGATTGTTAAATAAGACTCATACAAATTAAAGATTTTAATATTAACAAATATCAGCTAATATCAAATGTTCTAATAATTTTAAGATCAAAGGCAATCAAGAGGCACAAAAGCAAAAAGAGGTCTGGGACATCTAGAGCAGCTCCTTCTCTTTCCACACTAGTTCCATGTATTTTTGGCCCCGAATGAATGGACAAGGTCCCTAGGTGAGGTTCTGTGGGGTCGTCTCACGCAGCAAGGAGGGAGAGTTTAGGTTGTGAAATACCTCCACTTTATACCTCAGAGTGTTATAAAATTTACCGTGCCTCAGAAATCCATAGATCCTGGATTTATTAACTATAAGTAATCTTTAGGCAAAGGTATGTTGCTAAGAATATTCTGTAGCTTAGAACTCTGGCAAATATCATTAGGTTAATCTCCCAAGAGGTCTAATTGGCAAACCTATTCAGAGCAGATCAGCAATTTTCTCTTATTTTATGAAAGGCATCCCCCAGTAAAGATAATCAATGCAGAGCAGGGCAGCTGTTTTAACTCCAGCCTCCTCAAGCTCATTTGGTGATCAAATAATCAAACATGAAGGAAGACCTATCATGAGATAATATAGCATCCTAAAAGAAAATCTGCTTATGTGAAGGCAAAAAGCAGCCAGCTTTAAGTTTATGATAAAGTTTAGCTTACTAATAAACCTCTCAATACTGTCTGTATTTAATTTAGAAAATAAATATAAGTAGATAAGCAACCTTAATAATTTGAAAACAATTGAAGAACAAAATAAAAACACATGCAATAAATTATAAATACAAATGACTCTTGTACCCACCAAAATAATCTTAACTACTATTACTACTACTACTACTAGCACTACAGGTGATGATGATGATGATGATGATGTTGATGGTTAAAGATCTTTGACAGTTTGACTGGTTTGATTAGAATAAGTAGTATGGTTAGAACATTTCTTAAAAAGTTGTTGGAATAAATTTCTCCTCATAAGCAGGAAACATTTTTCCCCTTTAAACCATAGGAATCTGTATAAGAGTAGTCAATCAAAAATAAAAATTGTTTGGAATCTGCAGTGTTTTGATATTATATTTCTGAATTTTATCATTCTAATTATCATCTATAGTTGAGCTTCAGGTCTTTTTCCATAGCCAACCAAATGGAAAGCATTTAACATTTGTGATTAAAGTCTGTATTATCACATCTATTGAAATTCAGCCTTCCTGTTAACATTTGTCTCTTGACCTTAACAACTACAGAAGCTGAGCAGATAATGAAGAGTATAAGATATAATTGTTTTGTCAATTTTTTTCTATTTATACTATAAGGTATTGTTTTACATTTTAACATATCCTTTTTATTTAAGTGTGAAATAGAGCTTTTATAGTTGAATTTGATGAAAGTAATGTGCCTTACTCCCAGGAGAGCAAAATTAGAGTATTGTTTTATGAAGATGATAATCTTAATTTATAATTTTTAAGTGTATGTCTTTGATTTTTATTCTATGATAAAATTGACTTTTTAATGTTGGCAAGGAATAGTGTATTTTCTTGAGAGAGAAATATAATTTGGGGATACATTTTTTTTAAGTCTTTTTTGACACCTAAAGTGACACGCAGATTTTTCCTTTAATATAGACTATTATTCCTAGTAAAAGGCATTTTCTTTCATGTAGTATGAAATAAAAATCTGTATGTTCATAAGGCCTTTTAAGCTTATCTATGTCAATTAATAATGAAAGTGGAAATTACTTACTTCTATTGTGTAAGAGGTACTGGACTAAGTTTTTTACATTTATTACATTTTGTTTACACACTAGAACTTATCACACTTGAGTACTGCTTGGGTCTTTTTCACAAGAAAATAATTGTGGGACATCCAGTGAAATTAAACATAGTTTATTAAGATCAAGTTTCTATAAATAGCATGTCAAGGTAAACCTCCTTGTGGTTATAGTTTTTTTTACAGTTATAAAAATGAGAAAAGTTATTTATCATTACCAAGACCAAATTAACTAGAATAATAATAGGTAATTGGTCATGTTATTCTATTAAATCGCCATTTAAGTTTTATTTTATTCTGTTCTTATATTTTGACTTCAATAATATCAGGAACGATATGTATATTGAAAAAGAATGGTGTATAAAAATATAAATATCAAATCTTTATTAACATAAGATTATCAGAATATATTAATAATCAAAGCACCACCACAAATATCAATTTTAATGAGATGTCACTGCGTTGTTAACAGTGTTGATAATACTATAAAGTTTAGTAGTGTAGCATTATAAAAATATGCCAAGTGCATATTATATCTAATTAGTTCAGTAGAAATGAGAAAGATAATAATTGTTTGAAAGTTTGAACCTGTAAACATTTTATCTACAATGCATATAAGTTAAGACTTTAATATTATTCTGTATTCTGTTTTATGGGTCTTTGGAGTTAAGAATGCCTGCACACTGAGAACCACATAGTGACTAAAATCTCACATTTTCCTCTATTTAAACTTCTGAAAAACATTGTTTATATAGCATATTATGATGTCATTTGGGCAGACACAGAGGAGTACACTGTATTTAAATATGCTAGAACAGATTTTATTTTAGGTTGTCATCACAGAGACAGATTGTAGATTATGCTGAGTACTTTTGTTTGGTTAATTGTTTGTTTTTTTTTAACTTGCATTTCACCTTGATGTCTCAAGAATACTTGAAAAAAGGATAGTTAAAATGTAAAAGGATATAAAACTCAGACAATTTTATGATCTATCAAACAATCATAATTCCGTTGTTATTTTTATTGTTAAGATATTATACTTTTTCCATCAGCTTTTATAATATTCAGCACTCCAGAATGCTAGAATTTCTCCTCTGCATAAATATATATTCTCCCATGAAATGTATTCTAAAAGTGACATATGGGTAGATAATACCTTTTTATTTGTGGTTACACAGACTATAGCAATGGTTGGTGCAGTTCCGTTGAGACAGCATTATATAATACATTAGGAATTAAATATATGCAGAATAATGGAGCAATTAGAAATACCAATGTTGCCTTTATATTTAATTAGCATCATCTTTAAGTTGCAGCCTAGTGTTGCATGCCTTCACACGAATCAGGTTGAAATGTCAGTTATGCCACTTAGAAACATTGTGACTTTGAGAAATTTTCCTAATCAACTTGGGCCTCAATTTCTTCACATGTAAGTTGTGATAATAATTCATACAGTTCATTTGAAAAATTAAATGGTTAATAACTATATTGTACTTCACACAGGTTACTACATCACCCAGAGTAGGCATTCAGTAAATTAATGTCGTTGCTATTATTAGAAACAGAATTTGTGTCTGGTCTTGTGAGAAAAATTGGCATCCAGTCTTTTCTTTGATTAATGGGGAGGAGGAGATCAGAATAGGAGGAAGATAACTGCTTTATCTCATTTATAAATAACCTGTCTAAAAAAGTTGCATGTAGCTAGTTGTTTAGACCTAGAGAGTAATTTTCCCATGGAAACAATGCTATAAATGGTAGGTTCTCCGAGAAACCAACAGAACTCTATTTAGGCCACAATATGGTTGCAAATGTGTAATTGCAAAGGAAAATAGTAGGAAAATGATAGTGTTGCAATAGTACCAATTACACAAAACAGAGAAAAAATAGAATAAAATTAGTCCTTTGTATTGAATTCTTGGAGTAGATAAAAATATTTAATAAACAAATGAAGAAATGCCCAACATAAATTTCTATAGAGATTCTGAGAGTCAATTTATTACATTTCAGAGCCTTTAGAGAATGATTAGTCTTTAAACATAAGCTGACTTCATTTTGTTTTCTTTTTTTATTTTTATTTTTATTTTTTGAGGTGGAATCTCTCTTTGTCACCAGGCTGGAGTGCAGTGGTGCAATCTCAGCTCACTGCAACTTCCGACTCCCTGGTTCAAGCAATTCTCCTGCCTCAGCCTCCCAAGTAGCTGGGATTACAGGTGCATGCCACCACACCCAGCTGAATTTTGTATTTTTAGTAGAGATGGGGTTTCACCTCATTGGCCAGGATGGTCTCGATCTCCTGACCTCATGATCCACTCGCCTCAGCCTCCCAAAGTGCTGGGATTACAGGCGTGAGCCACCGCGCCTGGCCTTGTTTTCTTTTTTCTCTCTTTTCCTGCTTAAATAAAATAAAAGATGAAGTGTAGAAGAAAAATGAATATATAGAGAAATCTTCTGATTTTGGAATGGAGAGGATGTTCAAAATAAGAAAGAAAAGAAGAAAGATTATCAAAGAGGGGAGTAGGAGTTTATTGAAAAAGGAAAGGAGAGAATGGCTGAATGAGAGTAAGGAAGAGCTACAGAGAAAAAGTGAAGAAGGGAAAGAGGAGTAGAATTTGTTGAAGAGTTTCAAGCAATGTGAGATATGGGAAAAATAAAGATAATCCATAGCATAAGGATCTGACTGCAATATGAAGCCCTCAGCAAGTATGAAATTTCATTAATATTTGAAAATAAAATTTTACAATAATTTTGCATTCTACAAGGAAAAAGATGAATATACCGAAAACCAATTACTTTTCTTAGGCCCATCAAAAAATTCAGGTCACATAGGAAACTGACACCCAGCAATCTGAAATGAAGGGGAATATAGAAAACTGTGTCAAGGATAACTAAGTCCTTCTTCTGGAATGAGAAAATTCAATTTATACTTGAATGCCAAAGCAACAAAAAGTTATCAAATTTACTGCACCAGCAAAATTATTCTTCAGAAGTGAAGGAAACAAAACATTTTCAAATACTGAGGGAATTTATTGCCAGTAGACCTCTCCTACAAGAAATATTAAAAGATGTTCCTCAGAGGAAAATGATATAGGTCAGAAACTCAGGTCTATATCAAAAGAGAAAGTGTGTTGAAGACAGAAAAAGTTAAGGTTATAAGGTGCCTGCATTCCTCAAAAAGTGTTATTTAAAAGTGGACTTAAATTAGTTGTAAAGATTTATTGCAAACTCTAAGGCAACCACTAACACAAACTTTAAAAGAGGTATAATTGATATGCTAAGTGAAGAAACAAAATGAAATCTTATAAAATGCTCAGTTATAACCAGAAGGGACAGAAGAGTAGAGGGAAAATAGAATGAAAAACAGAGAATATGTGCAATGAAGAGAACACAGCAACATGGTAGGTATTAATCAAATTATATAAACAATCACCTTAGATGTAAATGGCCTAAATACAACAATTAAAAATAAAGGCAATCAGAGTGACTAAAAAACAAGACCTGGCCTGGCATGCAGTGGCTCATGATCTATAATCTTATCAATTTGGGAGGCTGAGGCACGAGGATCACCTGAGTTCAGGAATTTGAGACCATCCTGGGCAACAAAGTGAGACTTTCTCTGTACAAAAAAAAAAAAAAAAAAAAAAAAACGTAGCCAGGTGCAGTGGTGCATGCCTATAGTCACAGCTGCTCAGGAGGCTGAGGCAGGAGGATTGCTTGAGCCCAGGAGTTCAAGCCATGATCATGCCACTACACTCCAGCCTCAGGGAGAGAGGAAGACCTGGTTTCAAAAAAAGGAAGAAGGAAAGAGAAAGAAAAGAAAGCAAGAAAGAGAGAGAGAGAAAGAGGAAGGAAGGAAAGAAGGAAGGAAGGAAAGATGGAAGGAAGGGAGGGAGGAAGGGAGGGAGGGAAAGGCCCAACTATACATTTTCTACAAGAAACCTACTTTGAATATAAAAACTAAGATAGGTTAAAGGGAAAGATGTGAGTGTATAACTATAAAACTTCTGGAAGATAACATAGAAAAGAATCTAGGTGATCTTGGGTTGTATTTATCATTGTATAATGATAAAGTTGCATCTTGGGTTTGGCAATGAATTTTTATATACAACATAAAAATCACACGCACACACACAAAAAACCCTGATTACTTAGTCTGTTAAAATAAAAAATCTGCTCTTCAAAATAATCTTTTGGGGTACAAAAATACAAGCCACAGACTGGGATAAAATATTTGCAAAACACAAAGCTTCCAAACAACTTGTAAACAATTTTTTTAAACTTCTATTCAGTGTGGTAGTGGTACTATAAAATAAATAAATAATAAAAATTTTAAAACTCCTAAAACTAAACAATAAGGAAACAACCCTATAAAAGTCATCAAAAATCTGAACAAACAACTCACCAAAGAAGATACGGAGGTGGCAAATCGACATATAAAAATATTCAACATCATTTTTATTAAGGAATTGCAAATTAAAACAAGATGCCCCTACACATCTATAAGAATTGCTAAAATTAGAAACATTGAAAATGCCAAATGCTGGCCAGGTTGTGGAGTAACAGGCATGTCATTCATTACTGCTGGGAATGCAAATGGTATATTCACTTTAGAAGACAGTGTGGTTGTTTCTTTCTGTAGAATGTTCAAGGGATTTGGGGGGACTGCACAAGGAAGAAGACATGTAACACACAATAACAGATGACAAGATTTATTGAATGGAGCAGGTTGCATGGAAGGGGACTTCCATGCAGTAGTGAGCAGAACAAGAAAACTTTTAAGGGAGAAAGAGGGATTTGAAAGGGAACTTATGTGTCTAGGTGTTGTCTCTAAGTCGCACAGCCAGCTATATCTAGATTAGAAATTCTGAAGGGTGGTAGTTGCATGGGATCTTATAATACAAGCCCTGTGTTATCAACAGACAATAGATGCTACATCTATTTGCATGTAGTATGCAAAGCAAGCAAGCTCTAATGACTAAAAATTTGGTTGTTTAGGTTGAGGTTAGCTGATGGGCTTGTGAGTGAACGGGTCTCATTGGGCAATGAAGACATAAACAACTTAGGGGCCAATATACAAAGGCCATCTTTGGCTCATTTATAAGATATTTGTGAAGCTAAATACAGTATTACTATATGATCTAGCAATCAGCTGTGTTCCTTGGTATTTACCCAAAGTTGAAAACTTATGTCTGTACAAAAATCTGCACATGAATATGTTTTTTGCAATGTTATTCATAATTACTAAAAGCTGCGAGCATGAAATATGTTTTTAATACTTGAATGGATAAACTATTATATTCCTTCAATGGAATATTATTTAGCAATAAAAATTAGCTATCAAGCCATAAAAAGGACATGAATGAACATTAAATGTATATTGCTAAGTAAAAGAACCTGGTATGAATAGGCTATAGACTGTGTGATCCCATTTATATGATGTTCAAGAAAAGGCAAAACTATAGAGATATGAAACATCTAAGTAGTTTCCAGGGTCTTGGGAGTGAGGGAAGTTGAGCGGGTTGCCAGGTGGTTTTTAGGTGAAAATACTGTATGACACTGTTATAAAATATATATAACATTTTGCTTTTTAAAACCTGTAGAACTTTACAAGAGCAAATTTTAACTGTAGCCTAGTTAATATACGTGTGTATACATGTGTCTCTGTGTGTGTGTGTGTGTGTATCATTTAGGAGCTGTTTGAAATTCCAGCTAGGAAAGAATGATGACAATGAAAAGAGTCTAACTCTATTACAAATGTATGAAGCGATATCACTGAAGAGGGTGAAGGAAAAGGTGCAAACGTAGCTTTGGAGATAAATCTGTCTGTAAAACTAAAGGCAAAACGAACTGCGCATAAAAACTATAGTCTAGTTAATGATTATTTCCCTCAGGCATATAAGTTAACAATTCAGATACTGTTATACATGTATACTGGAATCAAATGAAGTAAATGGATGATGGATGGTGGGAGACATGCTTATACTATCTGAATTATATAGTTCAGGTAATATAAATTCCACGAAGAAAATGAAACAGGGTAATAGTGTAGACTGGACTAGGATGTTTTAGATATGGTGATAAGAAACAATCTGTAAAAAATTGATGTTTGAGAGAGAATGTAGATGATCAGAAGTTAGCTTTATGAAGAGTTTGAGGAAGGGCATCCCAGGCAAAGGAAATAGAAACGTGTAAAACTTGTGAAAAATAGGAGCTAACTTTGTCAGCTCCAAGAGTCATAAGGAGACTGATGTGATTAAAATGTTTTACATGTTACAAGACAGTCCGAGTTGACAAGCTCAGTGTGATAGCTAATTGTGTAAGGCTTTGTACACCACAGGGAAATTTCTGCATTGTATTCTTAGTGGGAAAGGAGGCATTCAGGATTAGTGGCAAATAAATGAGATCATCTGACTTACATACTTAAAGAAATACATTGACTGCTTTCTCATTAAGCTCAAGAAACACAAACAAACTAAAAAAGAAACATGTTGACTGCGATGTGGGTTAGAGACTGTAGAGAAACAATTGTGGAGACAAAGTGACCAAATGCACATTATTAAAGAATTCAGTAGCTGATAAGTGGTAGGTATAGTGTAATAGACTTGGAGTGAATAAGAAGTGGTCAAATTCTGGATATATTTCTGAAAGGAGGGTCAAAATAATTTGTTCAAGTATCAGATATTGCAGTGCAAAAAAAAGATGACTCCAATTTGCTTTGATCTGAACAAATGGAAAAACAGACTTGGTACTATTGAGATGGGTGTGAGAGTAGGAAGAAGTTATTTTCATAGGAACAGTTATCAGGTGTTCTGTTTTGAAGATTTGATACTTTAGATGCTTATTAAACATAATGAAGATGTCAAATAGGTAATTGGTGCCTAAGTCTTGAACTCAGGAGAGATCTGGACCTGAAAATACAAATACAAGCACACTATCATCCAGTAGACTGTATTTATAGCCATGAAAATGGGTTAATTAAACCACCATAATATTACAGAAGGAAGAGAGAAAATCGGTTAGCTTTATATAGTAAATTCTTTAAAATTTACATATTGATTAGAGAAGTTGCCATAGATGGATTTTTAAAAAGTTGCCTTTGAGATAGAAAGAATAAAAAATAAATAAAAGGTAATGTATTATTTAAGGGCCGATGAAGAAACAAGCAGTTAAATAGTTGGGCAAGTTGAGCACATAGAACTATTAGACTTGTTAATGTGAACTTCAGCAGAGTGAAACAAAAAAAAATGACAATAATTAATGTTTATTGAAGGCATTATAACCTAGACACTGTGTTAAGTACTCTACATATATTATATCACTTAATCTGATTATTATATTGATTTTACAGATGAGGAAATGAAGGCATTGCGAGATTAAGTTAAATTATTATAGGATTGGGCCGTTAGTAACTGAGGCAGTTAGGATACAATCTTGAGTATTCTGATTTTCATGTTTATACTCTCAACCACTGCAAGATATGTAATGATGAAGTCTTGGAAGCATGCTTATAAAGGAGGGGGGAATTAAACAAGTCTGGCAACTATCTTTTCTATTTTCAACATGTTACCAGAAATTCTGGTTAATCAATAAAATTTTAAAAAAGGCATAAAGATTTAAAGATACATATACTTCTTTTCCTCATCTGTAAAATCAAAATAATTATATATATAATTATCAATATAAGAAATGATGAATTAGAACTAAAAATGTGAGTTTGGCAAGTTATCCTGATGTAATATAAATAAGTAAAATAATAGCATTTCTTCTCTGAGGAATTAAAATCTAAATGGCACTTAGCTAAGGGTCATAATATTAAAGCAAACATAATTTTAAAGAAATACATTTTTCCTTTAAATTTAATTGTGATTTTTTAAAAAATTATTGAGGATTTATTATGTATTAGTAACTTTGATAGCCTCAACCAACAGGGAGATCAACAGGATGGAGTAACTGCCTTGAGGAGTTCAACATATAGTAGAGCAGAAAAATGAACTAGTAAATAACCATTGCAAAGTGTTATCCACTAGAACACACACATAAACAAATTGTTAAATGCAAAAGGAAAAAGGAGTATTTTACTTCCCCAGGCTGTGAGAAGCATGTAGTCTTAGTCTTTGAGGGATGTTCAGTGAGTCCTAAAATCTTACTTGAGGACATTGAAGCAGAACATTGCAAGATAAGATGAGTTTCATAAATTAATGTCAGGTAGAGCAGTCATAGAGGAAAGGAAAGAAAAACAAAAGAATCATGCAAATAGATGGTACGGAGCTCAGGGCAAACCACCTGGCTCTTGTGAAAGAGGCAGGCATTTCAGAATGAGAAACACAGGCCGTGATGACACTGCAGCTAATAAGTGAAGGGTGCTGTGTATCATAGAAATAGTGTGGTTTGTAGTGATGCAGGATTTTTGCTCCTTAGTTCAGCTAAATCTGGGTTCTTGTGTCAGAACCAGGAAACATTAGGCATAGGGACAGAATGAAGGGTGAGGAGAGTGAAATTTATTGGGTGAAAAGGAAAAAAACAAAAAAACAAAAAAAACAAAAAACTCTCAGCAAAGCAAGAGGGGATCCTGCCAACAGGCTCCCACTTCACAGATTGAATACCAGGCCGCCACACACACAAGCTGAAGAGAGGCCAGGCTCCTCCCCACTGCACAAGGCACAAATTCTTGGTGGCTCCACTCTGTTCTTGTAGTGTGCATGTGGGCATTATTCATAAAGAATCATTTGGGAAAGGGTGGGCAAACAGGAGCAGTTCTCCATCTGGGTCATGGGTTTCATCCAGCACCAGCAGTCTTCTCTTTCAGCCTTCAGGCTGTTTTAGGCTTGAAGGTGGGGTTTCAGCAGGGACCCTTGGCTGTCTCCTGTCTCTCTCAGTAGTACACAGAAAATTAAAGTCGAAGATTATGAGTTTTTTATTTTTAATTTTTACGGGTACATAATAGAAATATATATATTTATGGATCATATTTTTAAAAGAAAACTTTTACAAATGTAATGATGGAGGTGAGTGGAAAAAATGATGAAGGGAGATCAGTCAGGTCAAAGGAAGTGAAACTCCATTTCCTTTTCAAACCCTTCTCAAGCCTCTCTTTCTAAAACATCTATTTCCTCAATATTTCTGATGAAAATGTTTCTGGCTTCTGAAGATTGATCTCTTTTATGTAACTCTTTTCAGCTACAACCATCTCTCTCCTTGAGATAAAGATGCTTTAGCACTGATCTGTACAATTGCTTTCTTGCTATTTTACTAGTATACATTACATTTTTGAAGTTTCACTCTCAGTCTTTGAAGGCAAAACCGTATCTGTCTTTCTAAAATGTCTGTTACATTCAAAGGACATAATTGGTAACAAATAAATAATTGCTGATTAATTCCAAATCTAAATCTCCAGCCTGGACTTCTCCCCTAAACTACAAACTCATGTATTCAATGATTTACTAGACATCTAAACTTGATGTTTAATAGACATCTTAAGCTTAACATTTAGAGGTTGAGCTTATACTATTCCTTCTCAAACTGATCTCCGAAAAGTGTCTGCAATATTGTTAAATGGAAACTCTGTTCTTTCCATTGCTCAGGCCTTAAAATGTGTAGCTTCCGTTGACTCTTTGCTGTTTTTTAACATTCTACATACAATTCATTAACACATTCTGTCAGCTTTATCATCAACATTTATACAGAGTCTGTTTACATTTATCCAGAATCAGCTTACTCCTTTCTGACGCTATTACTATCATCATTGCTGCATCTCCATTCCAAGCTACCTCACTCACAGTTGGATTTGTTAATAGTCTCCTTAATGGTTTTCCTGCTTCTTGTTTATGTACATTCAGTATATTCTCAACAGTAGCCAGAGTGACCCTGTTCAAAAGTAAGGTTGGTTATGTTGCTTCTCTTTTCATTTCAGTGGCTTCTCATCTAAATCAGAACAAATATCAAGTTCTACATAATGATTTCCAAGGCCCTATGTAAAGTGGACCCTGTTATTCCTGTGTGGCACTCTCTACTGTTTTGTGCTCATTCAGCTTTAGTCACTTGGAATCTTGACCATTTGTAGAATATACTAGAGAGTCTCCTAGAGCACACTAGGGCATTTGTTCTTCTCTCTGTGTGGAGTGCTCTTCTCCAGTCATCACACGGCTTGCTGATTCACCAGCTTCATTTCTTTGTTCAAATGTTAACTTCTCAGTCAATCCTCTGGAAAATCCTGTATACAACTGTGATTCTCTTATTTAACACTCCCTTTTCTTAGCTCTTATCATTATTCAACATAATTCATACTCATTTGTTTATCTTTTTATCACCACTGGGAAGAAAGCTCTGTAAGGAAAGCAATGCATTCACTGTTCCTAAAAGATTCCCTGGCACTTAATTGACACTCAAACATTATTTGTTGAATAAGAGATTAAATGAAATCATCAAAGATAAATTGTTGAGTTAATTGAAAACAGAGTAAATCTGATGTCCTAACATATCTTGTCTCAGTTAATGTGTCCCATTAAATTTTGGCACTAACTTAGCCACTGTAATAAAATCCTTTCATGCTAATATTGTGAATTAAATATTTGTTTAGAGAGAAATTTTGGTATGAAGACTAAGCTTCTACTCCAATCTAAATGGCTTCAGGCTTCAAAATGATGGGATTTTTTTTTTTTTTTGTCTGAACAACAGTACTGAAATGATCACAGCAGGAGGATGGATTAATGTGGTTAAAAGAAAAAAGGGAAGCTTCAAGAGAGACATTCACTTATTTCAGTTTTATTGTTGGCTCCAACATAAAGGAATTGTTTTTTCTGATTTTTCTTTTTTTCTAACTTACCTAATTTGCTGAACTCTCTCCATTTACTGATGCCTCCTTACCAATCTGACAAGCTGACCCCCTGCCTGGAGAATCCTCCTCCTTCACAAACCTGTTTTTTTTTTTCTTTCTCTACTGCCACCTGATTATTTTTCCTTATTCATACTTCCCCTCTGTCAAGTTTTCATCACCTGATACATTTTTATTGAAATTCTTTTTGCCATCCAGTCCATATTAAAAAGTACTTCAATGTCATATTACTAAAATTCACATCTGTGATGGCTACTGATCCCCAGAAAAGGTCTTCCTTATCTTTTTTACATACAAAATATTGAGTTTATCTTTGAAAAGCCAGCTCATGCATTGCCTCCTCTCTGTGTTTTGACCTCACTCATCTAATCATAATTCTTCACCCTGAACTGTTTTCTTACCTGCCTTCCCACTATAGATTATTAGTACCTCAATTCTAATATATCTTATTATATTATAAGTACTTCTTTCTGTTTCTGGCATCCCAGATATAGAGAGAAGTCTTTGAAAAAATAATTTGAGTCATTTTCATGTTTGCATTATATTTTCTGGCACTGAGTAACTACCGAAGAAGAAAACGATTTTATGCTAAATGCTTTTGATTCATAAAAAAATTATAGCTCAGATTATACTAGAGCCCAAACATTTTATACAAGTTAAATCTGACTAGCACTAATGTAGTCGTTAATTTGGAAATTAGGCATATGCTTGCAATTTCATATTAAGCCATTTCAATTCTTAATTTTCCATAGGTATAAAAGGGAGGCAGGAAGGTAAAAGTTAAGAAGTGAAGGAAGAAAAGGAAGAAAAGGAAGGAAGGAAGAAGGGAGGGAGGGAGGAGGTGGGGAGAGGGGAGAACGAAAGGAAAGGAAGACAGGAAAGCAGAAAAGGAGGGAGAAAAGCAGCAAAGATAGTTGTCTAATCCACAAAGAATACTCAAAAAACAACTCCAATGTTTTGTGGGTTTGCTTTTCACCCATATTCCCCTGAAATCAACTTTTCCAGGAATTTACTTTTGTACTTACTAGTTTCTTTAGCTGTGTGATCATTTTCTCACATTTGAGCTGTCAAAATTATCTTTTATTTTAATTGATTATAAAGCTGTCCTTGTTATTTAAACTTTAACTCAGTTACCAAACTACTCAGTTAACTAATTCAGTTACCAGTTCTCAAAATAAAATTAGATTATGATGGCAGCTTTTCCTGAACCTTTCTTCCCATATTCTTTGCTAAGGGCAAAAAGGAGGAAAATAGAGACTAATATTCTCACCTGAAAAGCAAATGTAAAGAAACATTCTATTCGATGTTGACAGTATTTTTCCCATAGGCATGCACAAGCATTGGTTGGTGGAAATGGTATAATAGCAATGAATTTTAAAACACAATTGGCAATATCTATCAGAATTTAAAATGTATTTATTATTATTTCTAAAAGTCTCACACATGAAATCTATCCTATAGATTTATCTGCATATATATGACATGATATAAATGAAATGACATGTGTACATCGATAGCATTGCAGCATTTTTGTCATAGTAGCATATCAGAACTAGCACAGAAATCATTAATGAGGGAGGGAAGAGTTAAATTAACTATGATTTTATACTCACAATGAAATAAAATGCAGTTGTAAGGAAGAATGAGGAAGTTCTTTGTATTCTGAAATGGAGAGATATTGAGGATATGTTGTTTGTTTTCTATACAGGAATTTATTTGATTAATGAAAGAAAATAATGTATACAGTTTTTCTTAAGTTACAACATAGTAAATTTTCAATATAAGAATAGATGTTTACATGGTTATATTCTGTAGAGATAGAAAATAAACTAGCATTATTACTTATAAAAATCAGCCCACGATGAGAGTTAATTTGAAATTATATGAATGCACCTTATTGATCACCCTGAACCAAATAAAATCTCTGTACCTGAACATACTTTAGATTCATAAACACGGATAGGAATTTTTTTTTCTCTTAAAGCATACATTGTTAAATGCACGGCTTACATGACAAAATAGAGTAGAGATATTACATGACTCTCTTGGCAAACATGGAATACTAAATTGTTCTTGTTTCAAAATACATAGATTGAAGCTAGATTGTTTTTCTTCATTTTTTAATTTAACCATATAATGACATCATCTTTTGCATTAAATTTCTGATAGAAACTTGGCTTTGAGAAAAAGATACTCTTCACAGTCAGATTTAAAGACAATCTAATTTCAAACCCCAAATTTAAGTATTCTTGTGTAATTTTATATTACTTTTAATATGTCGAATTACTTCGCATTTATAACAACAAAAATCCACTGACACCACTTCTGTTTGTTTCTCCACTTTGGCTGCCTTCCAACTCTTCCCATCTTCAGCAAAGAGCCAACCCGCCTAAAGGGAAGCTGCGACCCACGTCCCACTACTGATTGGTATACACCTCACAGCCTGAACACCGAGTCTTTCTCTGAGAAATTGGAAAGGCTCCTGTGGGCTGCTGGGAAGCTTAAATGCAGTTAGTAAGTGAACAGATTGTCTTTCAGAACTGGCCAAATTTTATCTTCCATATTGAAAAACAGACTCCCAGAAAGCTTTTGTTTTTCCCCCTTTTTTTCTCATTCAAGAGTAAAAGCTTTACAGCTTTCTTCTTTTAACCAAAATGGACCCAGCACCTATCCTGGGTTTTATGGATTTCATCTTTATTCTAGCTCAAGGTATATAGCATTATAAGAACAACACTGCTACCTGACTCTGTTTTTAATTTGTATTGGCTGGCTATCCACTTACCACAGGGTTTCGGGAGGAAATTCTCTTGACATTTTGCAGATAGGGCCTGGTGGGACCTTCTTTATGGAGTAAGATGATGTTCAATACCAAGTATTCATCTTTCTCAGCAAAGGGCAGGTAGCCTGTATCCTGGTGGCAACAACTTGATTTAATTTTTTGTCTGCCTTTTTGATTAAATTCTCTGGTGTGCAAAGAGAAGAAAAGAAACAATTTCAGCTTGTTATACTTGAGCAAAATTGTGAAATAAAGAAAGAACTGCACTGGGAGTCAGCAACTTTTGGCTATGTTCTTCCATCTGTATTTTTCTAGCAGGATCATCATCCTCTCACTTTGGGCCTCAGTCCTCTTCCTGGTAAAGTGGAATGATAATAATACCTACCTGCCTAAAGTAGGGCCATATTAATTGATATATAAGAGTCTTTGCAGATCTAGGTTTTGGCCATGAGATAAATAGGCTCATCTATGCTAACAGGCATAGCTGAAAAATTCCAAATAAAATGCCCACTACTTAGAGTGGTGAATGCAGTTTGTTGAATGCTTGCTCCCTGTCTAGAAATATGAAGGCACTTAAACAAAACATTGAGCAAAATCAAAAATGTTCCTAACCTCATTTACATTATAGTACTGAAGAAATGAAAGGTGATATATAGGTTGAGTATCCCTAATCCAAAAATCTAAAAATCTAAGATACAAAATGCTCCAAAATTTGAAAGTTTTCAAGCACCAAGATGATGCTCAAAGAAATGCTGATTACAACATTTCAGATTTTTGTATTTTTGGATTAGGGATGCTGAACTAGAAGTATATAATGCAAATATTCCAAAATAAATTTAAAGAAATCTGAAATCCAAAACACTTTTGGTCCCAAGCATTTCAGATAAGGAATATTCAACGTGTACTAGGTGTTTTGCCTGATTAGAATACCATGTGCTGTGCCGATCTTGTTTTGCTTGAGTGTTCTCATCTGTGAAACAATCATTGTTTTCTTCCTACCAGCAGTATCAGAATAAACAGAAATGTTTAGTGAGATTTTTCTGCTTCCTCAGAATTGGCGTAAATAATTTATCTAATAATTTGGAGGCCTAGAGAACTCTAGAACTCTACTTACATTCCAAGTTGGAGAACTTCCAGCTGTTTTTTGTTGTTGTTGTTGTCGTCGTTGTTTTCAAGCTGAGAGGTACCAAGGAGGAAAAAGGCATGCAAATTCTTCCATCTCATACAAAAAAGCGTTCAAGTTTGGGAGGACACTGTGTAACTGTATACCTGAAAGAGCACAATGTACTGCTCTTTGAACTTTGAAAGTAAGGTTGCTTATCAGCTGACCTTAAAATAGGGAGATTAGTCTGAGTTATCCAGGTGGGCCCAATGTAATCACATGAGCCCTTAAAAGCCGAAGAGAAAGGCACGAGAACGAGTCAGAGAAATGTGGCTGAACTGAAAGATGTTTCAGTCCTGAAACAGAGGCGACCCACTATTATTGGAAGGAGGCTACAGACCATATGATAAACACAGAAGGACTGTGGATACCTTAGGAGCAAGATTCACAGCCAACAGAGAAATGGAGGCTTCAGTTCTACAACCACATGGAACTGAATTCTGCCTTGGTCTGAAATTAGATTATATCTGGAGCCTCTAGTAAGAAATGCAGACATACCAACACCTTGATTTTAGTCCTGTGAGATCCAAGTCAGGTCTACCCTTCCAGAAACTGTGAGGTAATGAATCTGTGTTGTCTTAAGCTTCTAAATGTGTGATAATTTATTGTGGCAACAAGAGAAAAATAATACAATTATATCCTCATCCTTCTGTAGATATATTTGCCTTCCTGTCCCTGTGGAATGTAGAAAGCTGGGTCAGCAAAAGGGGAAAACAAATTAGTGAGGTCAAAATATTATTCCCCTTCTGCTTTTTAACTTTACCAATATTGATATGATGGCTCTATGCTTATATTATACAGCATTTGACCTTACATATAGAGTAGGTTCTAAAACACTGTGTGTGTGTGTGTGTGTGTGTGTGTGTGTGTGTCTGTGTGTGTGTGTGATGTGTATGAGAGAGAGGTTTGGATTAATGGTTCTTCATATATTCACTGTGATTTACAGCACTTTCTCAGTTAAACCTTTCATGAATTAAGTGTCCTGATCTGTGTACTACATGTAAAGAAACAGGAACAGAAATTTTAAGTGATATGCTCAATGTCAATACGATGAAATTGTGACTGTGCAAAATGGAACAAACTAGGGAAATGAAACATCTAACATTAGTGCACCTGAAAAAGTAGTATGAGGTCACCAGAGATTAGAGAAGAAGCCAGAAGACCAGGCATGGTGGCTCACACCTGTAATCCCAGCACTTTGGGAGGCTGAAGCAGGATCGATTGAGCTTAAGAGTTCAAGACCAGCCTGGGCAACATTACAAAACCCCGCCTCTACAAAAAATCCAAAAATTAGCCAGGCATGTTGGCAGGCGCCTGTGGTCCCAGCTACTCTGGAGGCTGGGGTGGGAGGATCACTTGAGCCTGGGAGGCAGACATTGCGGTGAGCTGAGATTGCACCACTGCACTCCAGCTTGGATGACAGAGCGAGACCCTGTCTTAAAGAAAAGAGAATAGAAGAAAAAGCCAGAAGATAGTTTAGCCTAAAGCAAGGAAACCAAGAGGTAGACTATATCTCACTATTTATCAGGATAAGAATACATGAGGTTTCCATTAATTACAGGAACACCTTATTTATTGTCTGAAGCTTAAGTTGACTTATCACTATTTTGAAGTAAGGTGCCTCCTTAGCAAAGGGCCCAAGTGACAACAAAATGTGGAGTAGACCACCATATTAAGGGCTCAATAAATGTCAAGCATAATTATACTAAGCAGTCACTACTTCGATGACTCATTTGCATTAAGCATTTAAAATTAAAAAAAAAAAACTTCTTGTCAAAATTTTAGTAGGTGAGTGGTAGAGACAGGAAGAATAGCTTAAGGTAGATCTGTGCAAATCTTATAGTACCCTTTGTACAATCACACATCTTTCTCCTAAAAGGCCCAGCATTACCATAGAGAGGTAAACAAAAACCAGTTCTCATTAGCTGGGGAACTGGTGTCATGCCACATGATAGGGACAACGACCTCTCTGTATGGCTATTTTTACCTTTTCTTCCCCTGTATATTTTCAAGTAGAGAAACAGGTAAAAGAAGAGATCCAGAGGAAAGAGTAGATCTTGAGTCTACCCCACCCAACCTGGTGGAAAGGACTGCAAAGCTAGACTCAATTTGGGAAGGAGAAAAACTTTGAATTAAATATGTGAAGACATTTAAAGCGATTCAAATTCATGGGCTCAAATTAGAAGCAGTTACAGTAATCAGTTACACAGTGGGAAAGGAGATTTCAAGGTCCATAGCAAGTGTTAGAAAAAAGTAGAAATATTTTCTACTTATACTTTAATTCTACTTATACAATAATTTTCAATTTATTGGACAAACTATGTTGTTTGCCTCATGAGTTTTACACACACACATATACACACACAGTAGGTTCTCACTTAACATTGTTAATAGGTTCTTGGAAACTGACTTTAAGTGGAAGGACATACAATAAAACCAATTGTTTTTCTTTTAACATTATAATGAAATAATGAATGAAATGACTATATTCAAGGGCCTGCTGCATGCTGTTTTTGTTAAAGTTGCTGTTTCCAAGAACCTTCCAATGATGTTAAGTGAGAACTTACTGTATATATTAACTTATGTGTAGATTATGATATTATCACAAGAAAAATATAAAATTTGTTAAAATATTCCTCAAATGAGCCATTATATTTATGACTGTTATATTTAATTTATTGAGCACTTACTATGAATAGGACCCTATTCTAAAATCTGTACATGTGTAATATCCAAATTATCAATACTGCCTTAATGAAAATTTTGGTGACATGAAAAATCTTAGGCAGAGTGAGCTTAAATATCTTTTACAATATCTCAGAATTATAAAGCATTATAATCATGATTTGAACACTTGAGGTTAGACACTGGGGCTTTTTTTTGCCAAACTTCCTTTTATTAAAAAAGTGTGAAAGGTTCAGATTAGAAATTCAAAATCCACTCCAAATTGTTTACCCAAAGCAAGAAAATCAATCACAATTAATGAAAGTATCAACCTACTTCCACACACACAATATTTACTTCGACAACCCCTTGACTTAATTCCACTAGCAGATGCCCAAGACATTATTTACTCTGTGTGCTTGACACACAATAAACAATTTATTATTATATATGTATTATATATATTATTATATATCTTCAAAAATCAATTTTAATTGGTTTTAATCCTAAACAAATCAATTTTCGAAAATCTCTCAGTCATGTCTTCTTTCTTTCCTCTTTTATCCTTCTGTAATTCCTACTAGGTATATGTTGAAAACTTGCATTCGATCTCCCATGTCTCAACTGCTTTTATTTTTCAGTCTGTTTCTCATTATTATGCCTCCTATGAGATTACAGTAATGTAATGGATAAATGGGAATTTATCGAGTACCTACTCAGTACCAGATACTGCTCTTCACATTTTACAAAGTTGCATTCACATCAACTCAAAAATGCAAAACTTATTATAATTTTCATTTTATAGATGGAGAATCTGATGATAAAAGAGAAGGAAAGTATTCAAACCAAATAGGTTTGGTCTTAGGATCTCCAGTGCTAGCTCTTTCATTTTCTTCTGGTTTCAATTCATTAATTTTTCCTGAGCAAGATTAAGTCTACTCTTTAGCACTCCTATTGAAAGTTCTAAATTTTTTTCTTCAATGATTATATCTTAAAATTCCAATATTTCCATATCATCCATTTTAATTTCTCCCTGTACAGAAAACTGATATTTTACACTTGGTTATTACAAACTATTGTCCTTATAATTCTTTAATCTCTGTTTCCTTAGATTTGCTGCTTGTTGAACCTCTCAAATACTGAAGGGAAGTTTCCTGGCGGTCTCTCGTCATATGCTGTTTACTAAAGGAATAGTTTCCGATCTGCTGTAAGAAGTACTATGCTGTCCATTTGTTCCAGGACCTTATCCTCTGCAGGTAAGCAGTCTTAATCTTGCAACCACAAATGAGGCAGATCAAATCCTAATTGTGAGTGCATTTACTTTAGGCTTCTGTACATTCAAAGTGAACCACTTATGGCTTTTTCTCAAGTTGATGAGCAAAGGTAATTCTGCTAAGGTAATGTGTGGGCACTGGTGTTTTCCTGGATTCTAGAGATTATGCAGGGAGTCTCTTTTCCCTACCACACCCCAACCTCATATGTGCTTCTTCTATAAGTCCCAGACTCCAAGTGGATTAAGCTTTTTGCTACCTTGCTTTTTTTGGTATTTATCTTTTTACTTTTGGCATTTATCTTTTTACTTTTGGCATTTAAAATCTTTTTTAAAAAATGTTTAAATGGTGTAGTTAATATTTCATCAATAATATCTATGAATTAGAGTGGATAAAGTAAAGTTGTTTTGCTCTTTTGGCCACATAGACCCAGAAATACATACGTTTTAACAAAACAAGAGTATACCAGGGTCTTTTAGCATGCAATAATTCAGCATATATACATTTTTGTTCCGTTTACATAGCGCTTTCACACATGACTTTAGGATTTGAAAAAATATATTTTTGAGATATATTATTTTTATTTTTGTGTGTAATGCATATCCAACTCATGATTTGAAAGTTTTTAAAAATTACACCAATTTTCTTAATCCAGTCTATCATTGTTGGACATTTGGGTTGGTTCCAAGTCTTTGCTATTGTGAATAGTGCTGCAATAAACATACATGTGCATGTGTCTTTATAGCAGCATGATTAATAATCCTTTGGGTATATACCCAGTAATGGGATGGCTGGGTCAAATGGTATTTCTAGTTCTAGATCCCTGAGGAATCTCCACACTGACTTCCACAATGGTTGAACTAGTTTACAGTCCAACCAACAGTGTAAAAGTGTTCCTATTTCTCCACATCCTCTCCAGTATAATAATAATAAAATTTAAAAAATTACACCAATTTGACAAAAACAGTCTTATTTTCTACTGGTTTTACTGCAAAAGAAAAAAAACATAAAAATATGTGATTAAAGAAAGAGAACATTAACGTAGATATAGACTAATTAAACAAAGAAATTTTGACCCAATTATTTCTTCTCATTAAACTATTTCAAGTCTGTTTTTGAGTATTTGTTTAGAGCTCCTGTAAAAAGAACTCTCTAATAATAAGATAATATAAAAAGTCAGTTGCACCTGGGCACGGTGGCTGACGCCTGTAGTCCCAGCAGTTTGGGAGGCCAAGGTGAGCGGATCACCTGAGGTCAGGGGTTCAAGTCCAGCCTGGCCAACATGGCGAAAAACAGTCTATAGTAAAACTACAAAAAAAGAAAAATTAGCCAGGCATAGTGGCAGGTGCCTGTAATCCCAGCTACTCAGGAGGCTGAGGCAGGAGAATCACCTTTTTTGAAACTCCATCTCAAAGAAAAAAAAAAGTCAGTTGCTAGTTTTGTTTTTTACCTCAAGTATACATATATAATATGTCATATATATCATATATATTGTATATCAACACATATATAATATATATCATGCTCTGAAGACCAAAAATATAAAAGGTAAACAATTGTATTAAAATATTAATTTGTTTACATTTTTTCATAAGTTCAAAATTATGAGTTTGATTTAGAAAGATCTATATTCTTATAAAGAACCTGCTAATGTTTGACTGTCCCTCAGAATTATTTTACTGCTTCCAAATATACATGAAATGCAAATAGCACAATAATTTTTTTCTCTGATGTTACTTATTCTATTTTTATTTATTTATGTATATATTTTTGAGATGGAGTCTCACTCTGTCACCCAGGCAGGAGTGCAGTGGCGCGATCTCAGCTCACTGCAACCCCCACCTCCTGGGTTCAAGGGATTCTCCTGCCTCAGACTCCTGAATAGCTGGGACTGCAGGCACTTGCCACCATGCTGGCCAATTTTTCTATTTTTTTTTTTTTTTAGTAGAGACTGGGTTTTGCCATGTTGGCCAGGCCGGTCTCGAGCCCCTGACCTGAGATGATTCACCCGCCTCAGCCTCCCAAATTGCTGGAATTACGGGCATGAGCCACTGCACTCACCCTGATATTATTAATTTAGATTTTTACCTGGTTGTCAAATTCATAACTGGAATATTTTTGTTTTGTTTTAAACCATATATGCTATTTTAATCTTTAATTAAAAGAAAAGCTTCAAAGTAATTTATCCTTTAATATCCTTTAAAATTATACATTCATTTGCACATAAAACTAAAATAACAATGGTTTCTCTGAAAAAAAGCAATGTTATTTTGGTATTTCATCACATGCAACATTTGCTAATTAAAAGGCAGTTGAACTCAACTTTGATAGTTAATACAAAGTCCTCAATTGGAATTTTTTTCTAACTACAAAAAAGCCATTCGTATTTGACACTTAGTTGAGGGTATTAGAAATGAATATTTATAAATATTTCGTCCACTATCTGATTATTTAAGAGCCTTTTATAAAATAAAAGTAACCGAATCTTAAGCTAATTACCCATTATGCTCCTATCTCAGTCCATTCTTGCTGGTATAACAAAATATCTTAGACTGGGTAATTTCTAAACAGAAATTGACTGCTCAGAGTTCTGGAGGCTAGAGCATCCAAGATAAGGTACCAGTAGATTCGGTGTCTAGTAAGGGCTTACTTTTTGCTGCAAAGATGATGCCTTCCAGCTGTGTCCTCACATGGCAAAAAGAGTCAATAAGCTCCCTCAGGCCTCTTTTATAAGGGCACTAATTCCATTCATGAGCATGGAGTCCTTATTACCTAATCACCTCCCAAAAGCCCCACTGCTTAAATCATCACCCTGGGGTTAGGCTTTTACATATAAATTTGAATGGACACAACATCTAGATCAGAGCATTTCTCTCCTTCCCCCCAAAATTCATGTCATTCTCACATGCAAAATAAATTCATTTCATCCCAGTAGCCCCAGAAATATTACCTCATTTTAGCATTAACTCAAAAATTTAAAGTCCATTCTCATCTGAATATCATCAAAATCAAATATGAGTGAAACTCAATACAATTTAGTCTGAGTCAAATTTTCTTCCAGCTGTGGGTCTGTGAAATCAAACAATTTATACATTTTCAAAATACAATGGTAGGATAGGCATAGGATAGACCTTTTCATTCCAAAAGGGAGAAATATAAAAGCTGACAGGAATAGTAGGTTCCAAGTAAGTCTAAAACTTAATAGGGGAAAAAAATAACTATTAAGACTCTAGAATAATCTTTGACTAAGTGTCTCACCTTTTGGACATGCTGGAGTAGGGATTGGGTCCCCATGACTCTAGGCAGCCCCACACCCATGACGTTGCTGGTCTCAGCCCGTGCCACACTTTCATAGGTTGGAGTCAATTGCCTTCAGTCCTCCTAAAATGGATGGAGTTGCTTCCAAGTGGCTCCATCAGTGTGGAGTTCTGAGGGTGGCCCCACCCCCACGGTTCCACTAAGCATTACCCGACTGTGGTTTTTCTGCAGTGCTTCCACTTTTGTAGCAGCCCTCTTCCTGGATCTCATGCTTCAGTCTCCAGGCAGCTCCATCCTTCAAAACCTAGGTAAAGGTATCCATGGCTCAAAATTTTCAGTTTTCCTTTGACACGTGAATCACCCCATCCCATCTCAGGGTGCAAATTTGATGTTATTATTGTTAAAGAGGGCATGAGTAATGGGTAAAAGGTTAAATATTAATTAGTATTTATTGAATCAAAGAAAAGAAGGAAGAAAAATAACACTGTTCTAAAAAATAATGAATGATTAAACTTTGAACCAAAATCTCAAAATTTTTATTGTTTCATACTCTACTAGAAGTTATATGAAATCAAGAGAGAGAAACAATTACAGGAATCATGCCTGAAAATTTAAAGAGAATTGAGGTAGTGTAACTACCCAGTAAATTTTACCCAGTAAAAGGACCATTGGTGTAATGTCGGAATAACTAAATATCTAAATATAATCCTTAGCTCTTAAATTTAACTTGTGAGCTATCTTCCAGTTATTAATTACCTTGGCTAACATAAACATAATTTTTTTTTATCAGATAAGGATAATGAGTCTCTCCTTACATTTTAGTTTGGCTAGTTAAGTGGAATCATATTTTGCCAGCATCTAAAATAGTTAATTAAACTAAATGCTAATAAAATATTAATCTATAGGTAATTTACTAAACAAATTGAGGATTTTAATTAGTAGTATCTCCAGTAAATTCATGGGTAACATAAGTTTCTATATTGTAATCTGTTTGACTTAAAGTTATTTGAATTAGGGAGCAATTTTTATTTTTATTACCACATAATCCTGGCATGGTACCTGGAACAAAGTAAGAAACAGACACATATTTGTTAAATATTGAGTAATAAGAAAGTTCATGCTGTTTTACTTTATCATGAGTTTTTTTCTCATTCTTCAAATTTTCACTTAAAAAATTATCCAGTAAATACAGGATGGTCAAGAATATTTCACAGAATTGCCTTCAGTTACATTCATTATTCACATAGCCATCATTTTTTATCATTAGAGACAGCATTTGAGCAGTACCATGAAAGTACAATCTGCAAAATGAGAATTAATTATATGTAATAACAGTTATGTAGATATAATAAAATTTTAAAAGTAAAATGATTCAAATATTAAGATATTTAAAATATCGAAACCTTTGGTCCTTCAATTATTTTCACATAATTTACTTAAATCGTGAGAGGTGGACTTGGGCTTTTACTAGTATTGGTAACTTTAATATATTACTTATAATTTGAGATTTCCCAAACTGCAATAAATGAAATATCTGTTAATAACTTAATTATTGTTTGCTTATATTGAAAAGTTTATTGCATAAAGGAAATCCCACAGTCTGCTCTTGAATTGATGGCAATTATCATAACATTATGAAATTACTATAACAAGAATATACAATTAATCAGTTCTATATTTCATACTAACATGTGTGTGCCCTGATGCATTGCTTTCAGCAATATAGCAGCTGCTCTTTAATGCATTTTTTATGTCTCCAAGTAATTCTTTCATGATGAATTACGGCACATTCAGCCAGAATTAATAATGCACCAACAGCATGTGTAAAAAATTAAGTCAAATTTTTACTGAAGAGTTAAATTTGATTTGAGATTTTAAATTTTAAATTTCAAATATATATATAAAACTTCTCATCTGATCAAAATCCTACCTTGACAATATCTTTAATGGTCAGGAATATTGTAATGGTTAACTGGATAAAAAGTACATATTCACCTGACAAATAAGTAGAAATTACCCATTCGCTACCATAAGTAAGAATTATCATCTTTGAAAGAGCTACCAGAGTAAACATTGTTAAATTTGTCATTTTAATTTGAGAGACTCTCATGTTACACATATTCTGTTATTTATGTGCTGTCCCCCTTACAACCCCTGTCCACCAGTGGAAAATATTCAGTAATTTTATTTTCCTTAGTCACTTTCACCTAAATGAACTCTATGAGAAGAGCCTTGAGTTGAATCATTTATACTGTATTATGAATTAAGTAAAATCAATGTAATCAGCAAGTATTCTTAGAATATTGATGGTTAAGGGATCACATCAGTCTGAGTCCAATCATGACAGAGAAACCACCCAGTAATTTGAACAAGAAAAGTTTATTGTGAAGAAATATTAGCTATACAAAGGAGTTGAAGTAATGAGGCATAGCCTTGTAAGAAGTAGAGAAACACTAAAGAATATTGATAGAGTATATAAAAGAATAGCCACTGTTTCTATGGCTAAAATAGAGCACCCAAGAAAATACAGACCATATGGGAGGACACAGCTATGGCTAAGTTAATGGCAAAGAAATGAGTGGCAGATAATGCAAAACTTGCTGAAGCTATTATCTTGAGCTTGCCCGTATCAACCCACTAGGATAGAGGGGAAAGTTATTTCCTAGAAGGTATCACACTGGAAACATTCTACTCCAAAACCACTCCAGAAGAGGATGTGAGGTAGAAGCTGTTGGCCCTTGAGTGCTGCTGGCTTTTATGTACTGCAGCAGATGGGAACTGGAGAAGCTGCAAGCACTGCACCTGCCAGGTGCGAGAGAAACTGTATATACTGTAGGAGGCTGCTAGGAGAGGACACTGGAATGAGAAGGCAAAACTCTTTCCTTCTGCAATGTCTCTCCAGCACCCTCTACTGATAAATCTCAACATCATTTTCAGCTTGTAAAGCAAAAATATTTAAAGTACAAAGATTCATGTTTATAGAGCAAGCAAAAATTTTGAATTTAGAAGTGAGAGCCAATAAATCCTTAACTGGCAGAGAGTAATAAATGCATAAGGACAATTATTCATGATCCCAAGGCAGTTACATGTGAAAATGTATTTGTCACATTAGGTGATAAGTATTATAAAAAAAAATCTAAAAGTAGGTCAGAGAAGGTGATACGAGTGGAGAGATGGTTCATGGAACACATATGACATAACATGCAGTTGGATGTGTCATACAGAGGGAAAACCATGGTCAAAGCAACAGGAGGAAATGGAAGGGAGTGACTAAAAAGTCCCCATTTGCTGTTACATTGCTATTTGCTTTTTGAGGACCTCTAAATAATGTGATAGATCTTATTTAATAGACAATTGAGATGATAAAGATTTTAAGTAAAGGACTCAGGAATTAAAAATGTGCTCTAGGAACATAATTTCCATATGGCAAACAAGACAACCAAAGCTGTTGTAGTCTACCAGAATTGTAAAGACTTATCTCTTACTATAAAATAGTTTTATTTTCATCTAAATAAATTTATATATGGGAAAGGAAGTGGAGTAGAGAATGAAAATGTAAACAGGTGCTTGGAAGCATGTTGATCCTCCATATCAACATGTAGGTTAGTAGTCCCTGCTCTGCCCTCCACTTGAGAACAGAATTAGCCATGTAAGATAACATATATAGGAATTATTATAAGAGGAAGGTCATATGGGGCTGCAAAGAAGAAAACTATTCATGATCACTCTATAATCGTATGCATCAAAGTTCATATAAATACATATGTGTATATATACATATGTATACATATGTGTCTGTGTGTATATATACATATGTATACATATGTGTATATATACATATGTATACATATGTGTCTGTGTGTATATATACGTATGTATACATATGTGTATGTGTGTATATATACATATGTATACATATGTGTATGTGTATATATATATGTGTATATATATGTGTGTGTGTACACACACACACACACACACACACACACACACATACTCATTGTCCAGTTCCCAAACTGTGGATGTTCAGGCTTCAATTAGCTTTTAGTTAATTGTGTTAATTGTGATGAAGTGCAAAATAAGCTAGTTAATATGGATTCAGGTCTAGACTGTGCTCTCTATTGTCCATGTAATGTTAGGCAATAAAAGTGACCTATAAAATCGCAATTTTAATATAGCACATGATTGCCATAAGAATAAAATATTGTAGGTGAAAATATGTATTAATTGGAAAGTATTATGTATTAAGAAATACAAGAAATTGATGTTATTCTGACCTACTTCAACTTTGTTGAGGCATGCTAGTATTTTAAATAACAAAGATTTATCGCTTAGAGAATCAATTTGTCAAAATTATATCCAGGATATATTTTCTTAAAGCAATTTTTCTCCTAAGTATCCAGGAGGAAATCCATTTTTCCTTTCTGGACTGAACAATGAAGAAAATAGTGTCGAAGTTAAGGTTTTTGACAGGCATTTCACAATCTCATAGAAACCTCATGCATCTTTCATATTTCATCTTATATAACTTATAACTACTCCAATTATATAACTTATAACTACTCTAATTTTTATATTTTTCAAATAAATAGCTTCAATATTTTTATTAAATGATTATACACATCCTCTTTTCCTTTTGTATAGGTCTACTCATTTAAGTGATATTACAAACTACAAACTCATTCTTTTTATTTAGAGATAAGGTTTTCTCTGTCATCCAGGCCTACTATAAATCTTGGTGTATAAAACATGAAAGTCAAATGCTATTTTTTAATTATTTTAAAGATAGGATCTTGTTCTTTTGCCCAGGCTGGAGTGTGGTGGTGCCATCTATCATAGCTCACTGCAGCCTTGAACTCCTGGGCTCAAGGAATCCTCCTGCCTCAGCCTCCCAAGGCTACAGACATGTACTACCACACTTAGCTATTTTTTTTTTTTTTTTTGAGATAGGCTCTTGCTATATTGTCCAGGATGGTTTTCAACTAGCTTCAAATGATCTTCCAATCTTTCCTGTGATTATAGATGTGAGCCACTGTGACTGGCTCAAACACATCCTTAACTTTCCAACATCCCTAATTTCAAGACTTCTTTTAATATATTTTGAATTTTTAACCATATGATTTAATATCCATATTAACATACTTATTTTAGTGTAAGTTTAAATAGATTTTAAAACTCCCTGCTGATAAGCTTACAAAATAAATAAAAGCTCATCAAATAAGTATTATTTTTATAGAAAACTATTTTACATGGGTCACATAGCTCAAGTAATAGAAATTATGGTAATTTCTATTTTCACTAATTTAAAATATATATTCAGCACTAAATTTGCATCGCTGAAGAAGATTGGCAATAATTGTTGTTTTGGACTATGCCATACCAAAAGGAAATGAGCCTTATAATGTTGACCCCTCAAACTGGCATTTCTCTAAGAAGTTAAAGGGGGATCTTGCTAGGATTAGAATAACAAAACGAGACTTGATGCTTGAACCTTATCCATTTTCATACAATGTGCCTCTCAGCAGAATAAATAAAAAAATTGTACCATCTTGCAGAGTGCAAGCTATCAGCAAAATGCAAACTAAAGGTTGAAATATAAAGGCAAAAACTTACCTATATTCATCCAGAATGAGCAAAGCATGTCACAGTGTTTCTGATTTTAGCTGAGGTAAGCTTAAGCATCGCGGGGTGAAGGGTGAATCTGAAATACAAAGACCTAATCAAATATTATGAGAAAGCAAAGACCATAACATAATTGAGGGAATATTACATGGAAATATCAGTGTTTGATGGCATTTAAAAAATATATCTTACTTGATCACATCAAGATGGCAATTAGCTTATCAATAAACTTAGGTCACTGAAACTATTGAACTCTTTAAATAGATTTAGGAATTTTAAAAAACATTGATTTATTCTAGTGATGTGTATCCTTTCCTCATTACACATTATAATGATTTTATCCGTACAGCAGAACATAAGCCTTATTGTTAATTATAAAAGCGATATGTGTCACAAAAGCACATGTTTTTATTTTCCTGAAGCTCTGCAGAGTTAGTTGTATATACCATAATGTTAAAAATGTTTCTCTTAAATTGAGTGTCATTGTTGATTATTTCCACTCACCTTTTAAAAACTCAATTGGAAACTACAGGGATTTCATTTTCTGGTTATGGTAGAATAGCTTATATCAGACATTTCTCAACATGAGAAAACATAAAACCTGGAATAAAAATGAAAACTGCTGTTTGAAGATATTGGAAAGCAACTTAGGCAGTCAGGACTTCAAAGCCTTAAATTCCCCAAAGAAGAAAAACAAAATGAAAGGACTTCAGCCCTGTTTGCCAGTTCTGTTCTGGAGGCATTTGCCAGCTTGTCAGTAGCACAGGGCCCATAAGCCAAGTAAAATGGAGAGGCTCAGAGCTTTTTGAAGTGGCTCAGAACTGTGGAAACAAAAATTAAGAGTTCAAGGCTACCACAATAGCTTGGAATTAAAATATGAAGATCTCAGAGCCAAGGCATCAACAGAAAAGGTGGACCTGACACCATGTGATTCTTTGCTTGCATAGTGGTTCTTAATGTCTAATCTGCAGGGTGTGAGAAGCTAGGCAAGCAAGCTGAAAGTGAGAACTAAGAAGCTAAATTGATAGCAGGGCAGTCTTACAGTACTGAAAGAGAGAGAAAAAAAATGTTATTTAGGTCCTAACTAAGAGGAAGAGCCCTGGAAAATACTCCAGGATTTCAACTGAGACTCATGAGGAGTTATTACTAGACACAGCTGAATAAAATATTAATGGAATGAAAGATAAGTCAGTATATATGTGTGTGTGTATATATATATACACACACAGACGAATACATGAAGTGAAAATGAATAAAATATAGGGAAGAATATAAAATATTCATGGGACAGAATGAAGAATTATAGGATTCCAATTGGAGTCCCAGAAGAAGAGGAAAAAAAAGGAGGCAGTAAATTCTATTTGAAGACACTGTTCAAGATCTAATATTGAAATAAAACGAAACTACAAAAACAGGAAGAATTAATACAAAAAGATCAAACTGAGGCAAACTCTAGTAAAATTACTGATATTCAAACAAATAGAAAATGGTTAAAAGCAATCAGAGAAAAATAGATCCATTATCTTCAAATGAGCAGGAATAATAATGGTATCTGTTTTTAAATAGAAATGATGAAAACCAGTAGATAA
Organism: Homo sapiens; assembly: GCF_000001405.40. NCBI lineage: Eukaryota > Metazoa > Chordata > Mammalia > Primates > Hominidae > Homo > Homo sapiens. The sequence continues at coordinate 73,931,632 of NC_000012.12, read as the reverse complement.
TAAGTAATATATTTAAGATACTTTAAAGAAATAAATGCTAATTTATAATTTGATATCCACCTAAAATATATTTAAACCTGAATATGAATTAAAATTGAAACAAAAAGAGAATGTATAGGTAGCCTGCTTGCACTAAGAGAAATAATAAAGGAAGTTATGGAGGCAGAAGAGAAAGTGTCCTAACTGGATTTTCAGTAATGAAGGATGGAAAAAAGAACACTGAAATAGATAAAAGTGTTGTTAACTCTAAGTAAAATTGACTATATAGAACAGTAATGTGAATTACTTATTAAGAATTAAAATACTGGCTGGGTGCCGTGGCTCACGCCTGTAATCCCAGCACTTTGGGAGGCCGAGGAGGGTGGATCACGAGGTCAAGAGATGGAGACCATCCTGGCCAACATGGTGAAACCCCATCTCCACTAAAAGTACAAAATTAGCCAGGCGTGGTGGTGCATGCCTGTAATCCCAGCTACTCTGGAGGCTGAGGCAGGATAATGGCTTGAACCCAGGAGGCAGAGGTTGCTGTGAGCCGAGATCGCACCATTGCACTCCAGCCTTGGCAACAAGAGTGAAACTCCATCTCAAAAAAAAAAAAAAAAAAAAAAAATTAAAATACCTTACGAAGCAAGCAGAAATGAAGATAAACATACCAAGTGCTTTAATGGGAATTCCAAACACCAAAAAAAATAAAGAACAAATAAAAACAATGTTGGGATGGGTCCATAACACTTTTTTCATTAAAAAAAAAAAACTATGTTTTTCTCCTACATTAATATTTTTTCAAAAAGCATTTGTGGCTAGGCATGGTGGCTCACACCTGTAATGCCAACACCTTGGGAGGCTGAAGCAGGAGGATCTCTTGAGGCCAGGAGTTCGAGAAAAGCCTGGGCAATATAGCAAGACTCTGTCTCTACAAAAAAATTTAAAAATTGGCTGGGCATGGTGGCTTGAGACTACAGTCTCGGCTACTTGGGAGGCTAAGGTGGGAGGAACTCTACAGTCCGGAGTTCAAGGCTGCATTGAGGTATGAACGTGACACTGCACTCCAGCCTGGGTGACAGAGCAAGACATTGTCTCTAAAATAAACTAACCAAAAGAAACCAAAAACCATTTGTTTTTCATGTTTTGGGCACCAAAATTTATAATAGGCCTTGACATATATACATGAACAAGATATATTATCTGTCCTTGAATACATTAAATCCAGTTTAATATCAAATAATCTTTATTCTAAGATTCGGCATTGATTTAATTCAGATTAAGGGTAGAGAAGAAACACTGTATAAGATATGCATTTTAAGAAAATTACCTGAAAACAGCATTTATTTATTCATGCAAATATATACTCCTTTTACCCTGTATTCCAATCAAAATTCAAATCTAGATCTCTGCATATTTAGAGTCTATGTTTGGCGATTGGTAAGAATTTAGGGCATCATTATTCTGCTATTAGTAAAAAATATTTCACTTGGCTTCTTTTAAACTTTTAGGATTGATAGTATTATAAATGGCTATGATAAGTAGTATTTCTCTAAGGTCTTTATCTCCTGGAGACATTTAACAGTTTGGTGCTTCAATGGCATTCCTTCTTGATTCATGAAATAGTTATACCTAACTCTCCTAACTCTAAAAATTTTATTATTTTATTTAAGGAGAGTTGGCAATTTATTTGCTATCAGTTGTATTCCTAACAACTGAATAATGTTCTAAGCATATAATACAAATTAATTTCTCATCTTAATCATCTTTGAAAAAGCATTTTATGGTACAAGTAGAAATTCACATTTAAATTAACACTATACTCCATTTGGTGGTAAACATAGAAATAGTTCAAGTGAGGTGATAATCAGATAAGTGTAAATTTCTTTTTTTTTTTTTTAGAAAAAAGCTAATTTCTATTTATTTTTAATTTTTTAATTTTTTTAAATTTTACTTTAAGTTCTAGGGTACATGTACACAACGTGCTGGTTTGTTACATATGTATACATGTGCCATGTTGGTGTGTTGCACCCACTAACTTGTCATTTACATTAGGTGTGTCTCCTAATGCTATCCCTCCCCCATCCCCCCACCCCAAAACAGGCCCTGGTGTGTGATGTTCCCCTTCCTGTTTCCAGGCATTCTCATTGTTCAGTTCCCACCTATGAGTGAGAACATGTGGTGTTTGGTTTTTTGTCCTTGCGATAGTTTGCTGAGCATGATGGTTTCCAGCTTCATCCAAGTCCCTACAAAGGACATGAACTCATCATTTTTTATGGCTGCATAGTATTCCATGGTGTATATGTGCCACATTTTCTTAATCCAGTCTATCATTGATGGACATTTGGGTTGGTTCCAAGTCTTTGCTATTGTGAATAGTGCTGCAATAAACATACATGTGCATGTGTCTTTATAGCAGCATGATTTATAATCCTTTGGGTATATACCCAGTAATGGGATGGCTAGGTCAAATGGTATTTCTAGTTCTAGATCCTTGAGGAATCGCCACACTGTCTTTCACAATGGTTGAACTAGTTTACAGTCCCACCAACAGTGTAAGTGTTCCTATTTCTCCACATCCTCTCCAGCACCTGTTGTTTCCTGACTTTTTAATGATAGTCATTCTAACTGGTGTGAGATGGTATCCCATTGTGGTTTTGATTTGCTTTTCTCTGATGGCCAGTAATGATGAGCATTTTTCCCTGTGTGTGCTGGCTGCATAAATGTCTTCTTTTGAGAAGTGTCTGTTCATATCCTTCACCCACTTTTTGATGGGGTTGTTTTTTTCTTGTAAATTTGTTTGTGTTCTTTGTAGATTCTGGATATTAGCCCTTTGTCAGATGAGTAGATTGTAAAAATTTTCTCCCATTCTGAAGGTTGCCTGTTCACTCTGATGGTAGTTTCTTTTGCTGTGCAGAAGCTCTTTAGTTTAATTAGATTCCATTTGTCAATTTTGGCTTTTGTTGCCATTGCTTTTAGTGTTTTAGACATGAAGTCCTTGCCCATGCCTATGTCCTGAATGGTATTGTGTTTTAGACATGAAGTCCTTGCCCATGCCTAGGTCCTTCATATCCCTTGTAAGTTGGATTCCTAGGTATTTTATTCTCTTTGAAGCAATTGTGAATGGGAGTTCACTCATGATTTGGCTCTCTGTTTGTCTGTTATTGGTGTATAAGAATGCTTGTGATTTTTGCACATTGATTTTGTATCCTGAGACTTCGCTGAAGTTGCTTATCAGCTTAAGGAGATTTTGGGCTGAGATGATGGGGTTTTCTAGATATACAATCATGTCATCTGCAAACAGGGACAATTTGACTCCCTCTTTTCCTAATTGAATACCCTTTATTTCTTTCTCCTGCCTGATTGCCCTGGCCAGAACTTCCAACACTGTGTTGAACAGGAGTGGTGAGAGAGGGCATCCCTGTCTTGTGCCGGTTTTCAAAGGGAATGCTTCCAGTTTTTGCCCATTCAGTATGATATTGGCTGTGGGTTTGTCATAAATTGCTCTTATTATTTTGAGATACGTCCCATCAATACCTAATTTATTGAGAGTTTTTAGCATGAAGGGATGTTGAATTTTGTCAAAGGCCTTTTCTGCATCTATTGAGATAATCACATGGTTTTTGTCTTTGGTTCTGTTTATATGCTGGATTACATTTATTGATTTGCATATGTTGATCCAGCCTTGCATCCCAGGGATGAAGCCCACTTGGTCATGGTGGATAAGCTTTTTGATGTGCTGCTGGATTCGGTTTGCCAGTATTTTATTGAGGATTTTTGCATCCATGTTCATCAGGGATATTGGTCTAAAATTCTCTTTTTTTTGTTGTGTCTCTGCCAGGCTTTGGTATCAGGATGATGCTGGCCTCATAAAATGAGTTAGGGAGGATTCCCTCTTTTTCTATTGATTGGAATAGTTTCAGAAGGAATGGTACCAGCTCCTCCTTGTACCTCTGGTAGAATTTGGTGGTAAATCCATCTGGTCCTGGACTTTTTTTGGTTGGTAGGCTATTAATTATTGCCTCAATTTCAGAGCCTGTTATTGGTCTATTCAGGGATTCTACTTCTTCCTGGTTTAGTCTTGGGAGGGTGTATGTGTCCAGGAACTTATCCATTTCTTTTAGATTTTCTAGTTTATTTGTGTAGAGGTGTTTATAATATTCTCAGATGGTAGTTTGTATTTCTGTGGGATCGGTGGTGATATCCCCTTTATCATTTTTTGTTGTGTCTATTTGATTCTTCTCTCTTTTTTTCTTTATTAGTCTTGCTAGTGGTCTATCAATTTTGTTGCTCTATTCACAAAACCAGCTCCTGGATTCATTGATTTTTTGAAGGGTTTCTTATGTCTCTACCTCCTTCAGTTCTGCTCTGATCTTAGTTATTTCTTGCCTTCTGCTAGCTTTTGAATGTGTTTGCTCTTGCTTCTTTACTTCTTTTAATTGTGATGTTACGGTGTCAATTTTAGATCTTTCCTGCTTTCTCTTGTGGGCATTTAGTGCTATAAATTTCCCTGTACACACTGCTTTAAATGTGTCCCAGAGATTCTGGTAAGTTGTGTCTTTGTTCTCATTGGTTTCAGAGAAAATCTTTATTTCTGTCTTCATTTCTTTATGTACCCAGTAGTCATTCAGGAGCAGGTTTTTCAGTTTCCATGTAGTTGAGCGGTTTTGAGTGAGTTTCTTAATCCTGAGTTCTAGTTTGATTGCACTGTGGTCTGAGAGACAGTTTGTTATAATTTCTGTTCTTTTACATTTGCTGAGGAGTGTTTTACTTCCCACTATGTGGTCAATTTTGGAATAAGTTCAATGTGGTGCTGGGAAGAATATATATTCTGTTGATTTGGGGTGGAGAGTTCTGTAGATGTCTATTAGGTCTGCTTGGTGCAGAACTGAGTTCAATTCCTGGATATCCTTGTTAACCTTGTATCTCATTGATCTGTCTAATGTTGACAGTGGTGTGTTAAAGTCTCCCAGTATTATTGTGTGGGAGCCTAAGTCTCTTTTTAGGTCTCTAAGGACTTGCTTTATGAATCTAGGTGCTCCTATATTGGGTGCATATATATTTATGATAGTTAGCTCTTCTTGATGAATTGATCCCTTTACCATTATGTAATGGCCTTCTTTGTTTCTTTTGATCTTTGCTGGTTTAAAGTCTGTTTTATCAGAGACTAGGATTGCAACCCCTGCCTTTTTTTGTTTTCCATTTGCTTGGTAGTTCTTCCTCCATCCCTTTATTTTGAGCCTATGTGTGTCTCTGCACGTAAGATGGGTTTCCTGAATACAGCACACTGATGGGTCTTGACTGTTTATCCGATTTGCCAGTCTGTGTCTTTTAGTTGGAGCATTTAGCCCATTTACATTTAAGGTTAATATTGTTATGTGTGAATTTGATCCTTTCATTATGATGTTAGCTGGTTATTTTGCTCATTAGTTGATGCAGTTTCTTCCTAGCATCGAAGGTCTTTACTTTTTGGCATGTTTTTGCAGTGACTGGTACCAGTTGTTCCTTTCTATGTTTAGTGCTTCCTTCAGGAGCTCTTGTAGGGCTGGCCTGGTGGTGACAAAATCTCTCAGCATTTGCTTGTCTGTAAAGGCTTTTATTTCTCCTTCATTTTTGAAGCTTAGTTTGGCTGGATATGAAATTCTGGGTTGAAAATTATTTTCTTTAAGAATGTTGAATATTGGCCCCCACTCTCTTCTAGCTTGCAGTTTCTCCAGAAGGATCCGCTGTTAGTCTGATTGGCTTCCATTTGCGGGTAACCTGACCTTTCTCTCTGGCTGCCCTTAACATTTTTTCCTTCATTTCAACTTTGGTGAATCTGACAATTATGTGTCTTGGAGTTGCCCTTCGTGAGGGGTATCTTTTTGGCATTCTCTGTATATCCTGAATTTGACTGTTGGCTTGCCTTGCTAGGTTGGGGAAGTTCTCTTGGATAATATCCTGCAGAGTGTTTTCCAATTTGGTTCCATTCTCCCCGTCACTTTCAGGTACACCAATCAGGTGTAGATTTGGTCTTTTCACATAGCCCCATATTTCCTGGAGGCTTTGTTCATTTGTTTTTACTCTTTTTTCTCTAAACTTCTCTTCTCGCTTCATTTCATCCATTTGATCTTCAATCACTGATACCCTTTCTTCCAGTTGATCGAATCGGCTACTGAAGCTTATGCATTCGTCACGTAGTTCTCGTGCTGTGGTTTTCAGCTCCATCAGGTCATTTAAGAACTTTTCTACACTGGTTATTCTAGTTAGCCATTCGTCTAATATTTTTTCAAGGTTTTTAGCTTCTCTGTGATGGATTTGAACTTCCTCCTTTAGCGCAGAGAAGTTTGATCATCTGAAGCCTTGTTCTCTCAACTCATCAAAGTCATTCTCCGTCCTGCTTTGTTCTGTTGCTGGCGAGGAGCTGCATTCCTTTGGAGGGGGAGAGGCACTCTGATTTTTAGAATTTTCAGCTTTTCTGCCCTGTTTTTTCCCCATCTTTGTTGTTTCATCTACCTGTGGTCTTTGATGATGGTGACATACAGATGGGATTTTGGTGTGGATGTCCTTTCTGTTTGTTAGTTTTCCTTCTAACAGTCAGGACCCTCAGCTGCAGGTCTGTTGGAGTTTGTTGGAGGTCCACTCCAGACCCTGTTTGCCTGGGTATCAGCAGCAGAGGCTGCAGAACAGCAGATATTGGTGAACAGCAAATGTTGCTGCCTGATCCTTCCTCTGGAAGTTTTGTCTCAGAGGAGTACCCGGCCGTGTGAGGTGTCAGTCTGCCCCTACTGGGGGGTGCCTCCCAGTTAGGCTACTCGGGGGTCAGGGACCCACCTGAGGAGGGTCCCTTCTGTGCGTTCTCAGATCTCCAGCTGCGTGCTGGGAGAACCACTACTCTCTTCAAAGCTGTCAGACAGGGACATTTAAGTCTGCAGAGGTTTCTGCTGCCTTTTGTTCGTCTATGCCCTGCCCGCAGAGGTGGAGTCTACAGAGGCAGGCAGGCCTCCTTGAGTTGTGGTGGGCTCCACCCAGTTCAAGCTTCCTGGCCACTTTGTTTATGTACTGAAGCCTCACCAATGGCGGGCACCCCTCCCCAGCCTCGCTGTTGCCTTGCAGTTCGATCTCATGCTGCTGTGGTAGCAATGAGTGAGGCTCCATGGCTGTGGGACCCTCCGAGCCATGCGCGGGATATAACCTCCTGGTGCTCCGTTTGCTAAGACCATTGGAAAAGTGCAGTATTAGGGTGGGTGTGACCCGATTTTCCAGGTCCTGTCTGTCACAGCTTCCCTTGGCTAGGAAAGGGAATTCCCTGACCCCTTGTGCTTCCCGGGTAAGGCAATGCCTGGCCCTGCTTTGTCTCACGCTTGTTGGGCTGCACCCACTGTCCTGCACCCACTGTCTGACAAGCCCCAGTGAGATGAACCTGGTACCTCAGTTGGAAATGCAGAAATCACCCATCTTCTGCGTCACTCATGCTGTGAGCTGTAGACTGGAGCTGTTCCTATTTGGCCATCTTGGAACCGCCCCATGTAAATATCTTTGATAGGTAAGTTAAATTAGGTGAAATCAATGACAACAGCATTATAGAGTAGCTCTCATGTAGTGTAGTAAAGAAACTTTCTTTCTAATTGTGATTATAGGACATATTTTAATAACTCAAGTAGAAAAATGTAAAAGAATTTAGCTGAGAGTTGATGAAATATGGTAATCACAGAGCTGAACAACACAGAAATGCAACGGTATGCACAAAACATTATGAGGCACAGAAAAGAATTGCCAAACTTTACTAATGAAAAGTTTTGCCTCCATTTCTGAAAACATTTTTCTCAATATGGTTTTATTCATGTTCTAAAGATAAGTGAATACAGAGCATTCAGTACCATGTCATTGGAGGTAAAAAGAAGGATGTGAAAGAAGAGTCTCTCTTAACAGCAGCACTCCAGAAGATGTGGAAATCTTCCATTATCATGCTACCTCTGTGTTCATCATCCATTGTCACCATTTTCCCAAACAGAAAACAAGTGAATGGCAGAATTCATCTGATTCTTTCTTCAATGCAGAGCTAAACAAATTACTTGTAGAAATTATATCTACAAAGGCCCTTAGCCTTTTCTCAGACTCCTGAAACCCAAAGCAACCTAACTTCAAACACAGAGAGCAGAAGCATCTCTTTGTTAAAGACGCTTATAAACCAAGCTGTATTCTAGATATTATTTATTGTCTGATAAGTACCCTGTACTGTTGATGCCAATATATCTTTGTAAAATATAAGTTTAGAGAATATTTATTTAAGATAGTTACTCAGGTTTCTAAATCTTCTTGTGAAATGCTACATGCAATATGGATTTCTGAGTGCTCCTTAAACAGGTTGGAAAATACTAGTTTCATAAATAAGTAAAACGAGCAAACAAAATAAACTAATATTGTAAAAAATCTATTGAAAGAATGTTATTCTTAATCAAAATATTTGAAAATGAGGAAATGCTTTATGAAGGAGGTATTATATGTTTGAACATAGGGAAATGAAAGAGACTTTTATGTAGACAAATTGAGGAAGCCTAGAAAAAGAGGTAGAAAATTCAAATCCATATGCAGAGAATGAGGAAGAGTCTACTTTGGATGGATTATAAAGTGGGTGAAAAATAATCATGGTAAATAAATCAGTGATGGTGAATGGAAAATTATTATAGTAAGATATATATGTCTGAAGTGGTCAAATAGTAAGTCTTATAAAAACAAACCAATATTAGATTCTAATTTTCAGTAGTGTGTGTGCATTTTTGAGTGTGACATAAAGTGGACATGTTGACAGAGTTAGCATTCAGAAAGGTTTTTGATTTGCAAAATTATGCAGAATATATTAGATCAGGAAAATATGGAAAGCAAGAAGACAAGAGATAATAAAATTGCAATGATTTAGTTTATTAGCAATGAAGACCTGACTATGCATGGTCAAGAGGATACCATACATTTGAAAAATGCTGAGGGAAATAAGTAAAAGGGTTGAAAAATAATTAAATCATCAGAGAAGTTAAGGAGCAGGAAAAGGCTGGAGTGACTTCAGCGTTCTTGATCTAGGGGAAGGAGATAAATGGGAAGAAAGAGGAAAGCATCATCTGATAGAAAATAATGATTATTTACTCAGGGGAGTAAGAATTTGTATAATAGTTCACAGAAAAGCTATTCTAAAACTCAACTTCTTCTCTTCTGTTTTCTTCAAAACATATATAAGGCTGGGTGGGGTGATTCATGACTTTAATCCTAGTGCTTTGAGAGGCCAAAGCAGGAGGATTGTTTGAAGCCAGGAGTTCAAGATCAGCCTGGGCAACATAGCAGGACCCTGTCTCTATAAAAAATAAAAATAAATTAGCTGGATGTGGTATAATCCCAGCTACTCTGGAGACTGAAGCTGGAGGAACACTTGAGCCCAGAACTTCAAGGTTGCAGTGAGCAGCCACTGCACCCTGGGCAGCAGAATGAGACTCTGTCTCAAAAAAAAAAAGAAGGATATAAGAGATCACGATTATAATTATGTTATGATATCATAATTATAATTAAATTTTGCTTTGTAAAGATTTCTTCTTTCATCCTTTTAGTTTTTACTATCAATGGTATGTAAATGTGTGACCACTAAAACATGAATGCTTATAGACAGTATAGTTTAGTGGAAACAGTATTGTATTGACTTATTAGTGCTAAGTGCAAGTTCTATCAATGCCACTATACTAGTATGACTATATTAGTTAAAAATAAATGTAGCTGCATAAAAAAGAAAGCTAGCTGCAGTGGTTTCCCTAATAAGATTATATTTTTATTATAACAAAGAGGCCCAGAGCTAAGCAGTCCAAACTGCAACTGATCAAGTAGATATTACATTTCTTTGTAATCCAGCATCGTTAAGCATGTGCATGTTATATCCCTGGTTGCAAGTCAGCTAGTCCAACTTCTAATAAGCCATGTGACCTCTAGGTGGGAAAAAGTAAAGGAAAAAGACTAAAGGCAAAATCAGCTGAATCTATTCTTTTTATGAGGAAACAATCCGGGAATTCTATCCACTAGATATCTGCTAACATATCATCAGCTATAAATGTGATATCTGTATCAACAAAGTAGTATGATTATATGAATATTTTAAAGTAGTATGTTGACATGCAAATAAAGTTGGTGTTATATTAGTAAAAAAGAAAAATAGGATGGCTATTGTTTCTGTATTCTTATTTTTCTCATGTGAAAAATGAAGAGATTGTATAATCTGTAAGGCCCCAGTCAATTGTAAGAATCTATGATTATGTATAAACTGAAAAGAACTTGACCAATGTATTCAAATATCGCTCGTATTTCATATCATAGTCTAACAAAAAAACCAATTGCCTGGCTGTAATGGAACAACCCTGGGAATTGTATTTGTGATTATGATAGCAGAATGTTCTTTTATAACTCAAAGGTTCTCTTTCATCAGAATAAGCAATATCTCTGAATACTGAGTAAGCTAATGTCAGAAATGAGTTAATTAGACTTTTTACTTTTTATATTGTTTACATCAGTTCTAAAAGACTTGTGTTTCAAAGTAGCAGAAATGCAATTTCATGGTATTCTGCTTAAGTGACTTAGAGATATATACTAACTGCCTAAAGTTGATTATTTTAATGATTTTAAGTGTACCGAAACTGAAATACAGATTTGTGATTTTCTAACCAATATACTTGTTCCAGAATGAAGACTCTAATCTGAATGTTAAATTATAAATTTTCTCATCAAAACTAATGTGCAGACCACAAAGAAGATGATCTTAGTAAAAGGAGCTAAAACTCTATAAAAGTTTTATACATAATTTATGACTGGTAAATCAGGCATAGAATAAACTATCACAGAATCTAAACACAATTACCAAATAACCTGAGGTTATTGGTAAAGCTAATTTAGCCTTTTAATCAAATATTCAGTAAAATAGATTTAGATCATTGACAGAATAATTAGTTAATTGAAATTTCTGTTTTGCCAAGTGCTATTTGTCATTATATAAACACAAGCACTATTTTTATATCCTGATAGATGCTGAATTTGAGTACAATATTTAGAGCTATATGTTATTTAAGTTAATATAGTGATGCATTACCTCTTAGTAATTTAAAGAGTCATATTTAAAAACACATCCTCTGCTTTAAATTCACATATTGACTCATTTATCAGGCACAATACAGATTTTTTACATTAAGATTAATAAGCAATATGAACATTTGGTTTGTAAAAGTAAATATAATTTCCTCTATTTCATCCGTAACATTCTGAAGCTTAAAATTCTTATTTAAATAGTTGTTATATACATATTTTGTATCTTTAGCAGTTACAAATTATTTTAAACTTGGTAATAATGATGTTGCATTGATTGCCTTAATTGAGAGTTCAGTATAACCAGTATATATAACCAAAAATAATTGATAAAACCTAGGAGCCACCATCTTAAGAAGTCCTTTGAATCACAAGAAGCATATATAAAAAGAAACCAGTTGGTAGAAAAATGCGAAAAACCATACAAGAGATAATTTTATTTTAAAAAATTATCTTAAAACAAGCAATACTACTCAATGGAATGATATACATAAATGCAAAAATAAAATAATCACTAATCAAGAATATGAAAATATTATTCAAGAAAACAAGGTATTTTTAGACAAAAAAAAACCTGAAAAAATTTCTCATAAATAGGCATTCATTAAAGGCAATACTAAAGGATGTTTTCAGACAAAATGAAAAATATTCTAATAAGAGGTAGGAAATGAGGAAAAAGCAATAAAAAAAGAGAAACAGTAAAAATGTAGTTAATTTAAAATAGTGTTGAAAAAGTAAACCAATGTGTGTAATAATTTGATATATATTACATATGATTTATATACACACATATAAATATATGTTAATAATAACAACATGGATGTCCAAATGCTTCAATAAGATTTTCTCATCTTTTTTTATTTTAGAATTTTCAGTGTTGAATGAAAGTAAATACAAAGATTCATCATAAGATAATGAACTTTGTTTATAGTTAAGAGAAAAAATGTAGAAATTTAAAATCTATACTAATCTTAATATTAACTCATCAATATATTGACAAATATATGTAGTAATTTAGAATATTTATTGGAACAAAATCATCTTTTTATTTTTGAAACATGTAATCACAAGGAGTTCTGTTGCTTGAATAATTCTACTTCTTATTGATTGTTGAAATTTACAAACATAGATTTCTACCATTATACTTTAAGTTTTTTCTCATTTATTTCACTTGTCTTATAGGTTGGCAACATATTATTAAAAATTTTGCATTTATGTTTTTTTTTGCAGAATAGTGAAGTGGTAAAATAAAACAATGAACAATATCATAAATAAGTATATATAATTAAATATATAGATTAAATATCTCTCTTCTTTATTTGATCCTTTCCATTCCATTTTGATCATCTTCTCTCCTCAGGTAATCTAATAATAAAAGGAGATTCCATTGATTAGAATAATAATGATTCAATATTTGCTAGGGTTAGCTTATTTTTTTATTTGTCAAATAATTTTTCTTGAGAATTTCAAAGACAGATGCCAAAATAGATAAGCATGTTCACTCTGAAGCCCAGTAACCTAAGTTAAACTGGCTCTCTTACTTACTAGATAGATCTATTCTCTTAGAAAAATTATTTAACCTTCCTATGCACTACTTTCTTACTGTTTTACATTTTATAACATACATAGTAAAACATAAGTTTTATTACTGTTAACACACATCATGCTAGAAGTTAGGGTAATGGGAGAGGGAAAGGAAATAAAATGGGGTTAACAGATGTCTGAATTTACTTCTATTTAGTGAGTGGAAAATACCTATAATGCTTATAAATCTCACTTGGCAAATGATTAGATCATTGCAGCTGGTATTTATATCTACATTTTTAGCAAATTAAATCTACCAGTATCATCTATAATAATTTTTAAAAAATTAAAACCTTCTACAGATTAAGAAGAGTGAATCTAGTTGAAGAAATAATCCAAACAAATATTGATGGTCTATTTGGAGAAAAAAATACAGACGATAAACATAAGAAAATTTGCACCTCCTTACATCTTAGAAATATAAACACATATAATAATATGATAACATTTCATGTCTAACAAATAAAGGATGGGGGAGAGGGAGAAAACTAGGGAGGAAAGAGAAGCAAGAAAGGAAGGAATGGAAAGAAGGAGGGAAGGCAGGAGGAAAAGGAGGGAAGGAAGGAAGAAAAGGAAGAAAGAAAAAGAACAAGGAAATACAGAGGAAGGAATTTTTTAAAAAAATAAAGAAATAGAACAGAAAAGGAATTAGAGAAGACTGCCAATGCCGCAAGTTGAGGAGGACATGGAGCAACAGAAATTCTCAGACACCGCCAGTAGGGATGAACAGTGGCAACACAATTTTGGGAAAGAATTTAACAATATCTAGTTAAGGTAAAAATGTTTGTAACTGCTCACCCAATGGTAACTACTTATAAACATGTTTGGCCAGGTGTGGTGGTTCGCACCTGCAATACCAGCACTTTGGGAGGCCGAGACGGGTGGATCACGAGGTCAGGAGTTCAAGACCAGCCTGGCCAAGATTTTGAAACCCCGTCTCTACTAAAAATACAAAAATTAGCCTGGCATGGTGGTGGGCGCCTGTAATCCCAGCTACTCGGGAGGCTGAAGCAGGAGAATTGCTTGAACCTGGGTGGCAGAGGTTGCGGTGAGCCGAGATTGTGCCACTGCACTCCAGCCTGGGTGACAGAGCAAGACTCCATCTCAAACAAACAAACAAACAAATAAATAGATAAATAAAATATTCACAAGAAGACGTATAAAACTATAACCACTGGGACATTTTTTATAACGCAACATATTGAAAACATCTTCATTTATAAGAGGATTTATACCTAAATTGGAATAGAAGTATACAACTAAATATTATTTTGGCAGTAAAATAGAATGAAGTAGAATTCATATTTTACCATGGATGAATTACAAAAATAAAATATCAGGTGAAAAAGCTGTGTATATTTCTAAAAAACATAATTTAAAATATATATGATTGTGCATACGCTATGCATGAGCATAGGAAGTACCATCTATCCCCATGAGAGCTAGAAAAGATAACAAGGAGATCGATTCCCTGTCAAACCCTCAGTTCCTTAAACATAACTTGGTACAAGTGAAGTTCTCAGAAACGTTTGCTGAATGATAGATGATATTTTCAGTTTCTTTCCTAATCTGCAAAATTATCGATGTTTTTATAATACTATTATCTGTACCATTGTGGAAACTATGAAGCATGTTGTCATTTTAACAACTAAAGAAAAATACTGACTTTTTACATACAAATTTAATTGAAATGGTTACTGCAAATTTTTAAACTTTCTGTGTCATTTTATCAGAGAGGAGTTATTCATCTGTAAACAGAGAATAATATTTTTATTAATAATAAAAATGAGATTTTTTTATGACTTGAAACATATAAATAAAATCACCACAATACTGTCACGATTTTATCCTCAGCAAGGTTTTGGATGAAAGATCTCTGGTATTCTTATAATAATCTTCTATCTAGTAAATATGATTGACGTGGTTGTGTATACAGCTTGGAAAAAAATCCCAAGATTAATGATATAGATATGGTGTGAAACTTCAACTAAGCAAAATAATAATTTTAATATCTGAGTAGCACCCATTATCTTACCTTACTCAGTGTCAATTTGTACTGACCCAGTAACTTGCTTAGGGCAGGTTAATGCTAATGAGGCCAAGGTCGTAAACTCTGTGCCTTGTGGGCAAGGTAGTTTGCCCTGTTTCTCGGCTGTTGATTGCACCCTATGGTGGTGAGTCTTGCTTGAAAACATACATGGCTAGAAAAAGTTTTATTTTTAAAAAAAGACTAAAAATTCTTTAAAACACACTTTTTCTCTCTTGGAAATCAAGTTGTTTTAATTCTAAAAATGAAGGGGCAAAGGGAAAGTTATTCAACATTAAGTCAGAGTTAAAATGAGAATCAGAAACCATTCTTGGATCATGTCTTTAAATATAGTAGATGAGGTTCTTTTCCTCTCCGTTACAACTCATAATACCTATAGTTAGAAGTACAGAAAATATATTAATATAAATAACTTGTAACTTTCTAGTAATGATAGGCAAAAATCAAGGCCCTCACATTTTCTAATTCCCATTCTTTAATCTTGAGCCTCTGTTCAATAAAATCTCTTTTCCACATTATCTGATTGTACCAATTGCAATAAATTCAAATAATTTCAAAAGACAAGATGATAATATAAATATCTAAATAGGTCTAGGAGCATAAGGAGTTGTATTTCAGTCAATTGAAAATTTCAGAGTCTAACTTACCATGTGGAAATTCAATTCACTATTAGTTTGTGATTCCTCTATTATAGTATCTGCCTTGTTGATCAAGTGATCTACAGCATTCTATATTTATATTACACTTTAAAATGTCACCATGGTAACTTTGTAAAGTGTAGAAATTATACTTAGTTTCTTTAATCCCTGCATTCAATTCATTTAATGTATCTTGTTAATATAATAAAAATAAACACCATTATTGAGTATTTATTTTGAGATTGTTAGGGAGAAAAGAACTTTGTAGTATATTATTATCTCATTTAAACCCCAGAACAACACTACAATATGGAGCTTATTAGGCCAATTTTATAAATAAGAAAACTAAATATTAGAAAGAATAAGAAATTTGACCAGTTTTGTCCTAGGAATATCTACCAGATTGGTTAATGTGCTTGAGTAAGCTCATGCCAACATGTAAAAGGCAATTGTTAAATTTTGTGTGAAGGTTGTTAACCATTGGTAGCTTTTAAATGGCCATGGTGGGAGTATTTATACCACAGAAAATGGCAAAGCCTGAAAGTCAGGGCTTGCTTGCTTGCCTTTTTTTTTTTTTTTTTTGCAGAGAGCTGCTTTATCAGCACACAACTGAATATTACTTACCTAGTTTCTATAGAGTTAATATTTATATTCTTAAATGATTTATGAATGAACCCATGTTTTTTATCTCTGTAGTGTGGTTTTCATTACTGCACTTCTATTCCTCAAAAATTTATTATTATGTATTGATAGAGCATTAGTAAATAAAACTTAAATTTTATTTTGTAGTGCCTTATAGGAAATTATGCTTATACTAATTAAATTACTAATCCCTGAATGTCAAACTAGGAAATGTGTACTTTATTTTATAGCCAGTAGAGAGTTTTTATGCAAGGCAGGGACATCATCAGAGCCATGATTAGCTTCTTAACACATTCTCTGGCAATAGGGCAAAATGTGATTTTCTTTTTAGAGGAGACTAGAGGCAAGCAATTGGAAGGCCATCAAAATAGTCTCTGTGAGAGGTAACAAGGTCTTCGCTGATACAGTAGAGGCAGTGTGGCTTCAGAAGTTTATTATTACTAACAGAGGACATCTGCTTAACATAGTAAAATGCCGCATGTGAACTTAGACTTGGTGGCTTAGAACAAAATTTTGCTCTTATAATTTGTATGAATTGAATCTATTGTACCTGAGTGTCTCTTTTTAAAAAAATTAGTTCTCTCCTCGAGATCACTGTACCATTTCTAATTATTTGATGAGAGTAATGAAGTGAATTCATCTTCAAATTTTTAGATGCTTATGAATTTACTCCTGATTGAAAGCATTTTTGTCCTAGGAATATCCACTTTTTTCATGTTAATTTTTCCTCCATCTGTCCAAATATTCAGAATGTAAAGAATATTTTTGATCATTTCCAAGTTGTTCTTTCCCTTTTTTGTTTTGCTAAATGAATTCTTCTAAGGAAAAACCATTTTACATTTTATTATATTTTAGTCTGTCTTTGGAACATTATGATAAGGTTTAAAAATAGGATTTCATTTCATTTGTTTTAGTGCCTAAAAAATGCTATCAACTATTATTTTTAAATAGCAAAGAAATGATTAGCTTTAAAGTCATAGGTACAAAGAGGAAAAGTATATGCTTAATCTAAGAGTATTTATTATTAGATGCTTACATTAAATTTGTAAAACTGTTATTTTCTATTTTAATAAAGTAATTTAATATATGGCCCATAATCAAATTGGAACTTCACATATATAAGGAACAGGTACAAATCTCAGTCCATAAACTCTGTTGTGAGAGAAATACCATTAGATGTTTTTATAAATAACTTTAAGGTTCATCATTGAGTCTCTATTCTCTTGGGCTGACCTTACAGTTGAACTCAGTGATTGTAATGTTCCCTCCTTTCTTTTACTCTGGTTCCAAGACCCTATACATTAATTAGGGTACAAGGGAAGAGGTGTCTCTAGTCTTTAGTTGTCTGTCTACACACATCATCAAACATCCCACACATAGGTTCCCTTCAGGTGTGGTGGGTCTCCACAATTTTGTTGAAATTCTTTGTGTATAGATATTTTTCTTGAGTTTTGAAACCCTGTGCCTAGAGCCCAAGGTAATGTGATCATTTCTCTGTAAAACCCTGAAGCCCTTATTCTAACTGTGTGTAGATCCAAAAATGTCTCCCTCTTTTTCTTTCTCAGGCCTAGAAACTTTCCATATAGTTTAAAGAAAGTCCTGCTTCCATCTAGTCACCCTGCTCTTACCTGAAACTTTCTTTCTTTTCCTTTGACTTCCTTAGGAAAGTCTCTTAAGTTCTCCTAAAAGTGTGGGCTATTAAAAAAAAGAAAAAAAGAACCAATTCTGTTACATGCCTTCCAACATGCATAGCTTGAGGCTATAAAATATAAATCTAACTGCTTTAAAAAGATTGAGGCAGAGGCCACCATTTCAAGAGTATTTCCCACTCCCATAAGAAATACCACAGAATCCTGAGAAGTGGCTCTTGTCAATGAAGAATACCAAAAAGAAAATACATTTACCTGGGAATGCAATATTGGATTGTTTGTAAATGGATTATCAATTATTAGGTGATTTTTAGATGACAATGTGTGCAATGCAGTCTGTTTCTGGTTACCTAAGTTTTTTTGTTGCTGTTGTTTGTTTGTTTTTTTTTTTGTTTTTGTTTTAACATTGTAAAACTTCTTTGGGGGCATGGTTACAAATTAACAGTTGATGCTAGCTTTATGCTCTTAAATGGAGAAATTTTTTCTGGATGTCTTGGTTAAACCCAGAAGATATATTTTACTCTTGTAAAGAAACCAAGGACATTGATACCATATGAACATTTGAAACGGACATATAAAAATTATTGGTTTTAAGTATGGTTGTATGCACAAATAAATTTAAGAAGCTGAATTTGTTTATGCACATTTATGAATTTGGATAATGCTGGTCTTTGGGGAAAAACTGGACTAAAGTTAATAAATATAGCTATCCTTTCATCAGAAGAATCTGCAATTTGAGAAAATTTTAATAATAAGATTCTTTTGGCATTCAACTATTTTGTATTATCCTTGGAACAAAGAATGTGTTTGAACTAAGGTCAAGTCTATTTACAACCAGAGTATAGTGTATGGCAGATGCATCTGACAACAGTAATTTAAGCAAACCCTGAGAATGACCCTAAGGCCTAAGAAGAATGTGTGTTTGGAGATCTGAGCTAAAAAAGCCAGGAGGGGCCAACCAGTTTCACTCCTTTTCTGTGAAGAACAGCCTAACTCCTGGACCATCCCTTGGAATATAGACATGTAAGGAACCAAGGCACTTTGTTTTGGGTTAAATGGAGGTTGCTAGGTGGAGGGTGATAAATGAAAATGATATAAAAACTGCATGCTTTTTATAAACAGTAGTAATTCTCCTGTGCAGCCAGCTACCATTGGACCACCCCTGTATTTAAGTCCTCAATAATCCCTATGTCTGGATCACTGGTCCTGGGTCTCTTTTGCAGCCTCTTGGACACAGTGCCTTCCCTATTGGAGTCAATAGGGGTCTGGCAGAGCACATAGCAAAATTAATAATGCTCTCGGGCTAATGGTCTTGATGCTCTAACCAGTAGTTTTACATTGTCACAGAAAAGCACCAACTTTTAACAATGTACAAGGCAGTATACAGTTCACACAGACTGTGATCCCAACTAGTTGGCTCCCCTAATTTTTATATATCTCAGCAGATTTACAGGGATTTAAGTCAATCATTGTAAAAATGAGTAAAGTTCATGTTTTCCTGTCAATTTGAGTTTTTGATCCCTATATATTTGTTTGTGGCATCAGAAGTTTAAGTATTCAAAGTGCATTGCTGAACTACGTTTGTAGTTCATTGGGAGACCTTCAGAATCTTACGACATAGTTAAAAAAATCATTTTAGTTATTTTCTGAAATATAATGAAAATTGTATCCACAAAAATATATCTTAAAACTAACATAAGTGTTACTCAATCTTTCTCTTAATTTCTTTTTTCCTCTAGCCACAAGGCCAGATTTCCATGTGTTTGTATGAGTTCTGGTCAGCCAATGATTGGGCAAAGGCTTTGCTCAAATGCCTTGTGCCCGAAGGCAGATGGATCTGGGGGGTAGAGTGGGAGTTGGACAATTTTCAATTCTGCCTAAGCTTTCACTTTCCACCAGTACAGTTCAGTTTCCTCTGTTTTCTAGTCAGCTCAGTTATTTTCTAGTCAGTCAGGGATGTATGGGGAGCTTGCTTATCCCTTCCAGGGACGTTTCATTTCCGGGCTTTATTTCCTTTTTAAATATCTGGCTTTTCTGCCACTTTCCTCAATCAACTCTATAACTAATGTCTGCCAGAGCTTCAGATTTCCATCCTCCTTTCCAATTTAGTTTGCTACTTTTACTGACTATGCCACAGGGTGTGGTTTTTCACTTTCTGCTCCAAATCCAGTCAGTTGCCTTTATTAGCAAAGTTGCTAGTGTTTCTGGTGGTACTAGGTGCAGACAGAGCTAGGAGGGGTGGGGTGGGAATGGGAGCAGCCCCAGGCAAGGCCAGAGAGTCTCACTGTTTGTTAATAAAGTTCTGGAAGTTTCTTACAAATAAATACTCCTCAGTTTGTTTTTGCCTTTAATTAACTTCAGAGTCCTGAAATACTTATTTTCTACAATATTGTACAGTTTTATACTTGCTTTCATAGGAGATTTGCCAATATCTTTCTATTACTCTAGCTGGGAATACTGCCAGAGTTTGTTTGATTTATAAAGGATTTTTCCCAATTATTTAATCTTATCATCACAACTAGTCTATGAATTAATGCTATTTACATAATTTTATAAAAGCAGAACTCATGACCAAATGGACTCAGAATATAACCAAGAGGAGAAAGTATGTATATATCCAAAGATATGATATGATTGGCTTATTAAAGAAAACCCATTTGCATCAAAATGGTAGGTGGCCATCTTTTATAAATAGCGTACGGAAGTAAAAACAAAACCATGAATTTAAAAAACTAAATACACATATTCATGCATAACATTCTTCACTTTCATAAGTGAGACCAGAACTATCTCTTTCCACTCCCCATATACCCCTTTTCCTCCCATACAATAGCCAGTTCTCTCAGTATTGCAATACATTGTTTTTAAGTATAATGAATGCATCTGAAATAAAGAGCATACTTAAATTCCAAAGAAAAGTAAGAAACAGATTATTATATATAACAAAACACAGTCCCATTAGGAATAACACTTTTTAAAACACAGCATAAAGGTGATAAACTATTTCAGCACCTAACAATCACTTTAATTATGTTTTCCAATTCTATCAGTGAGGTTGGAAATATATTTTCATAAAATGTTTCCCACAGGTATGTTCAGTCTTTCCATAAAGCACTTAGTGTTATAATAACAGCATAACTTATTTCATTTGTGGAAATTCTGGGTAGTCCAAATTGTAAGCTATGCAAATTCTGACAGAGAATTTAAATATTATAATAAGATACTGTGAAACACACAGTTCTAAATTCCAATCCCCATTTCAGTTTCGAGGAAAAGATATATACAATATCTCAATTTTAATTTGTGCTTCAAGGTTCAGTTTTGTTGACTATGTGATACAATATTACAGCTAAAAATTAGTTTACAATATTGTATTTGTCAGCTTAAGCTGCCATAAAAAATATCATATAGACCAGGTTGCTTATATGACAGAAATGTATTTCTTCTAGTTCTGGAGGCTGGAAGTCCAGGTGACCACATCCTCACTGTGTGCTTACACTAACTCTTCTTTGTGTGCAGAGAGAAGGAGAGAGAGAGAGATAGAGAGTTCTGATGTCTAATCCCATAAGGGCACTAATTGCATCAGACCAGGGCCCAACCCTTATGACCTCATCTAACCCTCATCACGTCCCAAAGGCCACATATTCTGAATACCATCACATTGGAGGTTAAGGCTTCAACATATTAATTTTGAAGGGACACAAGTATTCGGTCCATAGAAAATGTTGATATAAATTAACTCATTTATACATCCAAAGAGTATATCTGGAGGCTTGATGTTAGAGAAGTGAATAAGGCATTCTACCTTTCCTTATGGAGCTGAAGTCTCATTTATTTCCCTCTGCTCATGTCTACCTTAAAATTTGTCAGAGTAATCCTCAGAATCTG
This sequence comes from Homo sapiens, assembly GCF_000001405.40. Taxonomy (NCBI): domain Eukaryota; kingdom Metazoa; phylum Chordata; class Mammalia; order Primates; family Hominidae; genus Homo; species Homo sapiens. Next base: position 73,910,114 of record NC_000012.12, on the reverse strand, counting down.
TGCAAGTCATATTTATATTAGAAGAAATAATTGCCATAGCTATTTTTTCTATTAGTTTTTAAAATATTTAATATAAAACAATTTACAAGGATATATTTAGTATTAAACATATCATGTAATATTCCTCTAGGTCTGGCCTTCCTGTTCTTAATGTTACATCAAAATATAACACATCTACTAGTTTCCCAAATTAGTGATAAATTTATTTCAATTCTACTTCATTTTACTCATCAATTGAAAGAATAATGAAAGGGAGAGATTGAACTCTTTTTTTAATTATTCAATAGAAGAAAATATATTGCATGAACCAAAAATTATATAATAACTAAAAATTATTGAATGGTAGATGTATTTTATGTCCAACCATAGCTATTTAGTTAAAATATATACCCTAAATCTAATTAGAAACAGAACTTATATGTAGTTTTTCCTACTTTACAACTTTTTAAAACAATGTCATTTTCCTCCAATTTCTTAAAAAATATGTACTTTGAGCCAGGCATGGTGATTCGTGCCTGTGATTCCAATGCTTTGGGATGCCAAGGTGGGTGGATCACCTGAGGCCAGGAGTTCAAGCCCCGCCTAGGCAGAAAAGCAAGATGTCATCTCTAACAACAACAACAACAACAACAACAAAAAGTTAGCCAGGCATGGCGGTATGCACCTATAGTCCCAGCTACTTGGGAGGCAAAGCTGGGAAGGTCACTTGAGCCCAAGAGTTCAAGGCAGCAGTGAGATATGATCATAAAACGATCCTCTAGTCTGGAGATTATAATATAGTTTGGAGATTGTGATCTATGGGTACAGGTTAAAGCCTCATTTTTTAAAAGAATAGATACCAAAAATGTTGGCAAAGCAGATTCTACAATAAATCCTGTTTGGTAACGATGAGGAAGCTTTAGGAACAAGGCTGGCAGGAATGAGAGAGAAAACCATGTCCTCGTAAACTGGCTGTGGAGCAAAGAGCATCATTCATCTCTCACTCGACAGACATGCACTCAGAGATTGCTCTGGACCTGCCTCTGCTAAGGTGCTGGGTTGCTGACATGAACGAAACAAAGATCTTGCTCTCATAAAACTTTTAGTGTAAGGTCACAGACAATAAACACACTTACATTATGTCAGGGAGTAATAACAGTTAAGAAAAAAAATAAAACAGGGTAAGGGGAAAGGAGTATTAAATTAGGTATAGTAAATGGGGAAAACACATTCAAATTAGGTGAAATATGACCAGGTGCCCAAATAAAGCGATAACTGAGCTATAAGTATTTCTGAGTAATGTGCCTTTCTGGCAGAGAAAATAGCAAATGCTGTGTCTCTGAAGCCTCTGCAGGAAGAATGTATTTGATTGGAGGAGCAGAAGAATAGAAAAGGTGGTTAGAGCAAAATTTAAAAAGGAGGAGTGGTGGAGATGAGGTTATAAAAATGTTTTCAAATGAACATTAACAAAGCTGGTTATAGCATTATATACATTTGTAAAAATATACTTCTAGATGATTAAGAAGACGGTTGAATTTAAACAAATTTGTTCCTGAATTAAACAAGTAAGGATTGATTCATATCTATCTATATCTTATTGCAGTCACTTCACTCCCAAACTTAGAATGAAGGACAACCATTTTTTCACATTTCTTGTATCTGGAAAAATGTTAGAATCATATAGTACTTACCAATTTAGTTGTACACTGACAGGTATAAAAAAATTCCTTAAGGAATTTATATCCTTTTTTTATTCTAATACAAAGTCTAGGTGTTTGTCTCAATATAATAAAACATTGGCTTCTAAGTTCCTTACTGAAAATATTTCTTCTCTGGCAAAAGTCAAATTTATTTTGACTTTTTAATTTTTTATGGGTAAATGTAGCAATATTTTTTACTATTAGATAACAATGTTAATATAAAATATTTTTAATAAAACATTTTAATTTTCTGACTATAGAGTCTGATTTATGAAAAGTACTCTATCAAAAGTAGATTAGTGAGAAGAGTATGAAGACTATTTTTGAGAAATAAAATATACTTTTCAAGACAATGTAGAAAGATCATTTAATTTTATTTTTAAACAATAGGATTGAAGTAACTTGGCATACTCTCATGCCTGGGAGATTTCATTGGCAGAATTTACGGCACTTGGATATAATCTAGAACAGTTGAACTTTATGTGTTACCAATTTGAAACAAATTATTAGTATTTAGAGAGTGAATAAGTCAGGAGATTATTATAATACTCTTTCATAAATAATGAGAAATGTATGTGTTAATAACTTTGTAAATACTGATTGTTTAAGAAATTAACTGAAGCCGTAAATTCTTTTATTCTTTTAGTACATATTCAGTAAGTATAAACCTTGTGCTAGGCCTCATGCCTCATGCTAAACCATGTGTCTACAGGTATAACAAATAATGACAGTCCGTGTCCTCATAAAACTGTTTTATTTTTTTTCACAATGATAAACAAATATTTAATTGATGTGCTTAAGAGCATAGTGAGTAGAAAATGTAGATTACTCTCATACCTGGTAGGGGCAGAGTAGTTAAATCCAGACTCTGTCCTGCTGTAAGTAACTAGAAAAAAAAACTGGTTAAAATATAATAAATCTGCTTGAAAGCACTAACAAACTAACAAGATCCTAAAACCGTATGCGACCAAGATAGAAGAAGAAAACCCAGGAAGTGAGCTCAGATTTGCAGCTGCTTCTGTAATAAGAGCATATTACAATTCTGGAGAAGATAACCTAGAGGGTTGGAACCTTGAAAAACTAAGGAAATCAATTTGGGAGCACAGGGTCTGTCAAGGGAGAGAGGCCCTACAGAATCATATCCACATTATTTGGGGACTCTGAGGAACTAAATTGCAGGATTAAGAATAAACTAGGCAAATATTGGCCTTTGCAGGGATAAATTATGAAACATTATAAATCATGATCGATTGAGGTGAGCTAAAATTGTAAAGCTCTTGGTCGGCCGCCACTGTTAATAGAGTATCATCCAGGGATCAAACACTATCTATAATGTACCATACACAATTTCCAACACTCACCAAGACATAAGCAGGTAAATGAGCAGACAAGACAGGGCCAGTGAAATCCATAAGGAATCATAGCTCAACCGAAGTGCCTCCTAATGGGAATTTGTGGAAATGTAGTTCTTGTCTCCTCTGTGATGCAGAGGGAGCCTAGAAGACAGTGCCAATGGAGAGTTGGCAATGACAGTGCAGCATAGTAAGGACAGAGATCTAAACACGATTAAGAAACTCCACTTAACAAGTATAGACTGCTACACCAAATGGAAGAATTTATATTTTAAAAAGTTAATTTATAGCAATTAACTGTATGTTGAGCCATAAAAGAAGTCTCATGAAATATTAAAGAGTTAAAATTATATGAATATGTTCTCTATCTGGAGAGGAATTAAGCTAGAAATGATGAGATAACAAGAAAATAACAATATTTAATAAATCATATTTACCTGAAAATACATTAAATTATTTATAATATTTATTAAGTAATTTTATATGGCAATGTGTGTAATGCAAACTGTGTTTCTGGTTAACTAAAATTTTTTTTTTCTTTTCTGGACACAGTCAATATTAAAAATTTATTTTTATTTTTATATACAAAAGTCAGAAAAATAAATGTAAAATGATACTGCTCATCATAACGACACATACATAGACATACATACTTTGGAATAAAGCTCATATCAGAATTCTAAGAAAAATTTAAATGTTTTTGAGAGGCATTTGGTAAGATATAAATAAATCGAGGAATTTTTCATGTTAAGATATTTCAAAGACACCAATTTTTCTATATTAATTTTTAGATTTAATGCAATTCCAATAAAAATTCCAACACGATTGTGTATGTGTGAGTGTATGTATGTGTGCATGTGTAAATTAAAATTTTTATTTTCAAGTTTACTTCAACAATGCAGAGGTTTAAAATAGTAAAGCCATTCATGAAATGATGAACGTTTTTGATCTGGGAACAAGGGCAATGCTTTAATAAATGGTGCTTAGAGAATTATCTGTATAGGAAATATGAAACTTGAATGTTACCCACATCACATTGAGATGTAAATACACACTGTAGATTCAATTATACAAGTCAAAATAAGTTATGACATGCATACAGACATAAAGTTCCTAGAATGTGCTACAGGAAAATATGTTTATGATTTTCATATGGGTTTGTTACTTAGGACACAAAAGTCACAGATAAGAAAAAGATTAATAAATTGTACCACGTCAAAATTAAAAACCAGCAGAGAAAAAACAAACCCAATAGTGGGAAGAGACTCTTGCAACACATGTAACCAACATAGCAAAGTTATGGCATATAAATGAGTCTTACACAACTCATTAAAATCAATAAAAAAAGATGAACAACCTGGTAGAAAAATTGTCAAGAGACATATTCAGGTACTTTATAATTTCCAACTGGCTCATAAACATAAGAAAAGGTCCTCAAAATCATTTGTAATCAGGAAAATGCCAATTGAAATCACAATGAAATACTACTACACAGCCAGCAGATTGATAGGGAGTGATAGGTCTACTCATATGCTTTTAGTGGACTATTAATTCACCCAGCCACCAGTATATCTATGTAATATGAATCAGTACTTCCATTCCTAGGTCTGTTTCCAACAGAACTATTTGCATGAAGAGATTTATTTAAGATTGTTCCAAGCAGCGTTATATAGAATGCACAACTGGAAAGACTCCAAATGTCCATCATAAATAGAATGGTTAAATGCTTTTATATTATTCAAAAAATGATATGCAACAATGAAAATGAATAAAATACAGTATCATGCCACACATGGATGGGGCTTACAAAGACAATTCTGAGTTAAAGAACACATAAGGTAGCACCATTCATGATTCTCAACCGAAGGCAAAAATGGACTCAACATTAAAAGTCAAGATTTATGTCATCTTGTGTGAGAGGTATTATTGGCCAGGGCCAACAGGTGATGTCTGGGATGCTAGTAGCATTCTCATCGTGGTTATACAGGTATTTAGTTTTAGATCCTACAATAAGCTTTACATTTATTTTCATGTGCATTTTGCTGTATATGTGTTATATTTTAATTTATAAAGTAAGGAAATACAATAATGTAGCAGCATTTTGGCATCCAACGTTAGGTATGTATCCAAGAAAACAGGAAAATTGTGACGGACATAGAGATGTGTTTTATCTCCCTTTTACATTTGATAGAGAAGTTATCACAACAGGCAACTACATTGATATAATTCTACAAATGAGACACTGTTAAGAATTAACTGAGATTTAAGTAAAAAGAGAGAGGAAAGTTGCTTGGGAAAATCAATAGATACAGGCAGCCAGACATTCATATGCAGAAAAAACACGTAAGCTCAGCATCAAAGCACCAACAACTGATTCCCTTAATAGTGCATGAAACAGTTGTGAAATTTCTAGGCTAACATAGGCTTATCATAACAGCATGAGAAGATAAGAAAATCAAGAAAGGAAGGGAAAAACTGTGTCAATTATTATATATTTGTCTTACACATAACACTTCAGGCACATAGCAATTAACTATTTTTCTATTCACTGCTTTCCAATAAAACTACTACAGTGGGTAGATATTCAAAATATTACTTAAAAATTCCTCTATGGAAAATAATCAAAATATAGAAAGGGTAAATGCAGCTTACTATTATGTTTAAAAGGAAGAAAAAGTTACTAGAAAAGTATGGGGTTTGCAGTCAAATCCAAATTTACATGTTTTATAGCTATGTAATCTTGGTGGTGTTTCAATAAACTTCAGCCTCAATTTCCTCAACTATAAAGCTGTCATGGGCCAGGCATGGTGGCTCATGCCTGTAACCCTATAACTTAGGGAGGCTGAGCCTGGAGTATTCCTTAAGTCCATGAGTTCAAGACCAGCCTAGACAACATAGGGAAACTCCATCTCTACATAAATAAATAAATAAATATAAAAAAATTAGCTGGGGGTGGTGTTGCCTGCCTGTGGTGTCAGCACTCTGCAGTCTGAGATGGGAAGATGACTTAAGCCTAGGAAGTCGAGGCTGCAGTGAGCCATGATCATACCACTGTACTCCAGCCTGAGTGACAGGGCAAGACCCTGTCAAAAAAAAAAAAAAGCTGTCATGTTACTTTATATAGATGCTGTCAGAAATCAACATAAGCATCTATGAACATGAACTTGCCTGGCACTTAGTAATATACAATACATAATAATAATTTATGTGAATATAATTATTTTTGTAAGGTAATCCAAACTTTATTGTCTTGATATATAAATTGCCTAAGTAGTGCTTGTCTTAAGGAATTGAACAATGAGAACACTTGGACACAGGAAGGGGAACATCACATGCCGGGGCCTGTTGTGGGGTGCAGGGATGGGGGAGGGATAGCATTAGGAGATATACGTAATGTAAATGACGAGTTAATGGGTGCAGCACACCAACATGGCACATGTATACATTAGTAACAAACCTGCACTTTGTGCACATATACCCTAGAACTTAAAATATAATAAATATATACATATAAATAATAAAAAGTAATAAAAAATATACAGAGGTCCCTGCTTAAACTCTAATTCTCTCCCACATGGTAACCCCCTATACCCATAACCTCTCTAAATGTGAACACAACCACTTGAAACATCTCTGTTTTGGTCTTCAGGATGTTTAGGCCAAGAATGATAGTCACCAGACCTGTTTTCTGCCTAATTACTCCTTCTATTCTGGACAATTGTTATAAAAGATGATCTTTTCTTAGGCATCACATTAACCCTTCCCTATAGGAATGTTCACTTTTATAAATGTTTCTGCCAACATTCAAGCCAAGTCAACCTACAAAACTGACTTCATGACTGATCCCCACTTACCTCCCTAGTTTCATTTCAAGCTACTCTTTTCTTTTCTTTCTATGCTTTGATATAAAAGACACCTAGGAACCCAAAATGAGATTTTTGAAGAAGCTAACCAATGAAGTCCTGGACCTTGGGAGACAACTTTACAAAATGCAGGGAAAAGCCTGGGGAAAAGACTCCAGAAAATGACTAAGGTGAAAGAATTTGACATGGTAGAGACCAAGGAAAGAGCAGTGTGGGTAGCAAAGAAAGCAAACACTGGAATGATGTGAAATGGATTTGGAAAGATAAGCTGCAATTTATGCAGCCTCAGTTCACAGAAGACTTAATACTTCATTCACAGAAGTTTGGAGTGTAATTTCATTGCAAAAAGAAGTCACTGACAAATTTTAGGCGAGAATGAACTGCAGGTGATCTTTTTAGATCATGAATAAGAACACAACAAATGTAGCAATGAGAAGAAACCTTGGGAAAATTTTGCAGTAGTCCTGAGACAATATGATCTTTAGTACGGTAGAAATGGAAAATAACTGCAGATTAGAGCATGAAGGTAGAACCCAGAGGACTGGCTGAAGGATTAGAAGTGGAGAATCATAGCAGTGGTGATGAAAACCAAGAACCGAGAGATTTCCAGATTTCCTACCAAAGAGCATGATAGCTTGTAATGTCATTTATTGACATAAGAGAAAAAAATAGGGAAAGAATGGAACTTGGTTTTTGTTCTGACTCTCATCTACTTACACTAATGACTTATGCTGACTATTATAACCCTGAGGGCAAGGAAGTATGTTTGATGTTCACCACTTGGTCATTTATTGGTTATTTATTAAAGACTTTTTTTATAAGTCAAGCCCAAGATCTACGTGTGAGGCAAATGCAGATGGAGAACTCTGTGATAACAAATTTTATGGTAAGTGAAGCAAATCACAAGGATGTCAGACTCCTTTCCCTTTGCCATATTCTTCATAATTAACCAGGCTTTGATCATTATATTTAAAGCAAAAACGAATACTTTTCCTCATATCTAAAGTAACTCAACCCTATACCTGTCATAAGTAATAGTGTATTTCTTAATGAATCCAACTCCTAAAATCATTCCTAGAGTAAACAGAAGGCTTGGTTTTAATAAAAGGACTGTATAATTATATTTACATGATAAAAATAGGTATAAAAAGTTCAATTGTTATTGTCCAATTAATCTATTGATGATATCTGTGCATGTAAACAATTAAAGTTCCTTCAAATGTGTTAGAAGAGTAGCTCAAAAATATTCCTTACAAAAGTAATAATGGTTAAATTATAGGCATGCTTTTCAAGTCATAATTTCAAAGGAAATAGAGTAAATTTTACACACATACTTACCATATTTTCCATAGCAAACATCCAGGAAAGACTATTAATGTAAAGTGAATTTTGCCTCAAAATGCATGTAATAAGCCACAGAACTGGTGACAGTTTAAATAAGGGGCTTTGATATGTATTTAGGGAAATTCAGTGTGACAAGGAAACTCATGAATCCTGAAAGCGTTGTGATAGCAGCACCCATCTCACTGCAAATCTCCCAGCCTGCTGGCCCAAAAAGTAGAAGAAAAATGATCAAAAAGACATTCTTAATAGCAGGGCTGATGAATCTCTGCTGGTAAGTATGGAATCAAATCAAGGGCTTTATCGGAATTTTCTTACTTTACATGTAATTTTCGCCTTAACCAGGGGATATATATGATTTGTTAATAGCTACAGTTTTTCTTCATTATTTGGGCTTCTGTTCATATAAGTGAACAGCTAGACTCATAGCTGCACATAAATTCTGAATTGAGAGGAACATGAAAAATGCTCGGAACTTGGAAGAAGAAGAAGAAAAAGAAAAATAGCACTGTCAAATGGCTACAGCATTCATCCATGAAGACTTAGGTTAGAGTTTACTCTGCTGCTCGTTTGTACCTGGACCTGGTCACATGCAAGTCACTTGATCTATCTGGGTTTCAATTATCTAGACTTTAACATGGGAGAGATCAATTGGTACCTTTTCAACTTTAAAAATCTTATGTGGTTTCTTTGAAATTAGACAATAATAAAAACTCTTTTAAAAATGTTCTCGTCACTTAAGTCCATTTTTAGTTTTTTACCTCTTAGAATTTATTCTTTTTTATTTAATATTCCAGATCTATAGAATAAAAGTGAAAAAGATTGTTTTATCTAATAAAGTAGCTTATCAAAATGTTTAATCACTTTTATGTTAAATGGGTCAGCTCATAACAAGTGCTTCATTGTCAATACTTGACAGTTTTCCAGAATTTCATTTATCAAGTATTCTGTCTCACAGTTTCCATAATTGCTTCTTAAAAAAGCATACTTGACAATGTGTCCCAATTGTTAACTGCAAAAGTACTCACTAAATTTAAGAAATATAGAATATTAAATATATAATCAATATAAAACATAATAAATGTGTGTTGCACCAACACTATAAACTAATAAAAAAAGACATAAAGCAGAAGAAATCTCAAAATACAAATTTTAGAGAGGTTTGGGGAATTTATGTAGACAGGGCATGTTGTTTATTCTGAAGACTAGTTGGCTCCCGTTAACTCTCACATGAACCTTATAATCTTCTAGTTAGCCTAGAAGTTCTAGTTAGCCTAGAAGATACATGAATAACTGAAAACATGGACATGTGATGGAATGTTTCCCTGGGGACATACATTGTACATGGCTGGATTTTGACTTTATTTCATCATTTCAAATAACCATTCACTTGTGATCTGAGTCCCAATGTTTTCCTTTCTAAGTTATTTATCAGATAACTCCTGAATCATGCCAGCTGCCCAGGTAAAAATTAAATCCTATTCTCAAATATTCCTTCTGCTTAACTCTTGGGTCAGTTTTCAAATGTAACAAGTGTAAAAATCACTTGGAGGGCTTTTTTTTTAATTATTATACTTTAAGTTTTAGGGTACATGTGCACAATGTGCAGGTTTGTAACATATGTATACATGTGCCGTGTTGGTGTGCTGTACCCATTAACTCGTCATTTAACATTTTAAAGCACCGATTCTTCAGTCTCATTCCCAGAAACTCCAATTCAGTAGGTCTAGCACTCATCTCTAAAGGAGAGGAACCAGAGAATGTGCATTTTCAGCCCGCATCCGAGTGATACTAATCCTGCAGCTCTGTGAACCACACTTTCAGTAACATAGTCTCAGGTAATATAGATAATCACCCAAGAATCTGTTAGAAGTTCAAAATTTAGCCAAGTTTGATTTCCTCCAGCTTCAATATATTAACTACTCATTGTGTGTGTGTGTGTGTGTGTGTGTGTGTGTGTATGTGTATATATATATATATACACATATACACACATACAAACATTAATCATTATCTACTTTTTGATATTTAAGTTATACATAAATTGAAACACCTGATCATTTCATTAGGAAGGTGCAGTCCATTTGGTCAAACCAAGGAATTTATCAGTGCCTATCTATCTGACAGTTCCTCCAATCAATTGCACTTCAGTAAGATGAAAGGAGATGTAAATTTCAAGAGATTATCCAAGAATTGTTTATTTGTACTCACCTTCAGTCTTGTATAAATCAAACCTAACTTTTTTTTCTATATTACTTGTGTGGGGGTGTTTGTTTTGGTTTTAAACAAAACTGCAAAAGCAAGAACTTTCTTTGAGAGAGAATTCCTCTTTGATGGTAAATTGCAAAATGGAGTTGATAATGTCTCAGATTCTTTTTATTTTTTAAAATCTTTCTTCTCACCCTTGCTATTCCAGCTGAAGCATTTCTCTCTAAAAAAGAGGAAAATAGACCAAGCAGGAGGAGTGCTTGAGTCCAGAAGTTTGAGACAAGCCTGAGCAACATAGCCCGACCCCTTTTCTACAAAAAATAAAAATAAAAAAGACTAGCTAGGTGTGGTGGCATATGCCTGTAGTCCCAACTACCGGGGAGGCTGAAGTGGAAAGATTGTTTGAATCCAGGGGTTCTAGGCTGCATTGAGGTATGATTGCACCACTGCACTCTAGCTTGGGTGGCAGAGTGAGACCCTGTCTTTTAAAAAGAAGAAAAAGCAAACAATCTAGGCTTTCTTCTAGCATCAGGAAAAAATATGTACCCCCTGAACTTCTGTCTTAGGCTTTGGAAACTGAAGTTGTTGGTTTTAAACACAGGTTAGCTTTGCTAGACAACTACATTCATCACATTTAGAAATAAAATACGAGGAGGATGCACAGGGGCTAGTACTTTATCCTGGGTCACATAGAAACTTCTCAAACAAATCGTCTCTGGACAGCACATTCTCAGAAGCTAGACCTCTCCATGTTACAACAGTCATAAAGGAGATTCATGCTTTGGCATTCTAGGGATAATGGAATATTGGTGACATTTGTCATAATAATGACATTACATTATATCAGTGACAAAGAAAACTAAATACAGCCTCGACGGGAGGTTAAAAAAAAAAAGGAGAAAAGATTGCTACCTATTATCAAATGCTTCTGTCACACAAAGATGAATTACACACTAAAATAGCTAGTTTTACAAAAATATACAATCAATAGAATCAACAAAATATGAGTTATATTATTGGTATATGATACATTGTATATTTCTACAGAAATAAAGCCTTTTAAATAATTTTAATAGATTATTTTGTTAACCATTTGACTCAGTCCATGAAATGGAATTTTGTCAAGTAGTTTTCTGATTTGATATCAAAATGACAATTTATTAACTGATCTTTAAAAAGACAAATATCTATAAAACATTTCAATATATCTAGATATTACATAAAGCTTACCAGTAGCTGGTAAGCTACTGATACTTTTTTATTCTTCTAGCTATATCAATGAGATTTGATAGTGTGATATATGTTTTGCCTTAATTTTATTTTACTTTTGTACAATACTATCAGGCATACAGATTGTATGTTTATTTGAAACTCTATAACCTAGCATTAGACTATATGATTTGTAGGATTCAACAATGTGGGATTTAAAAACATAGTAGAAGAAGGTAGTATAAGAGAAGACATAGAAGAAAGAAAACTTTGAAATCTGTCACACCCTTACTTGAGAAAGTCCAACATGTTGCTGCATCACTTAAAAATCCACTCCTTGAAATGTTCTCATAAGTTCAAGGAAGCCACTGACATAATATATTTAAAAGACAACAATTTTTCTCCTTAGCTATGCTATACCCTTGGGAAAAGGCAACCATATAAAAAAGGTTAGACTAAGAAAAAAAAAAATCAGATGGGATTTCTGAATTCACTCATGATCAACTGTGCAAACTTAAGAAAACTATCCGGTTTCTCAAAGCTTCAATTTCCGTCACATGAACCACTTCAGTTTTCCTACATTTTTTTCTCTTAGTTATGTTATTCTATATTTTATGTAGTTGTGGCAATTTGTTTAAATATGCCCAGTTCTATGATTAAAAACCAAATGTCCAGGAAGCTACTGAGTGAGGATACACAGAAAAATGTTATTTAGAAGTTTAAAAATTAAGATGTGAGCTTGAAAAAAAAAGAACATGTACAAAATTTTTAACAGCTTCAAGAGGTTTATATTGAAGGGATCTATAGACTGACCTTCCACCTTTTATAAAAATCCATTTAAATGGCAGAGAACTCATGAAAACTAAAAGTGCTTAGAAACAAATTAAAGAGGAAATTTTGCTTACTTGTTTTTAATATGAAGTATTTCAGAGTGCTTATGAAACACATTTCTGTATCTATAGAAAGGGAGAATTTATACATATATATGTATATAAGTTCTTTGTGAAAATAATTAGGTAAATACACATCAAAACTATTGAGACATGAAACCAATGTCTTAGAAAGAAAACTATATTAAATGAAGATCGAGGAGAGCTATTGCTTTACTTATATTGCTGTGATTTTCTTATAAAAAGAAAGTACTCAATATTATTCACATAATTTAAATGTATTATTAACTTCAAAGAACATATGAGGAATCGAGCAATAAATAAAGGTGGAATATACCAAATTCACAAATGCAGAGGGTGCCCCAGAGATTACACCGTTTTTACATTCTTGCATGCAGGTCCATACTACTTTCCTTACAGTTTAGAGTTTACCTGGGGCTTGGAACTAGGGATCAGGAAATAAAAAAAGAGGATTTGATTTTTTCTGTCATGATTTTGTTACTTTCTTCTTACTATTCATTTTTTCCACTCACTAGGCTGCTTCTGGCTCTTCTAGGATCAGGGCATGTGAACTAGGCATAGTAGGAAAAAATAAAATACCTTTTTATGCAGCTGGAGGCTTTCATGGGTTTCTCTTGGCTTTTGGTTGTTCACTGCCATGTCAGAAACAAAGGCAGAGTGATTTACGGGTCACCCACCTTTCCATGGGAAACTCTGCACAAAACTGATTTGGAGGGACTGATTGCTAAGGTCATAAATATTTGCTCTGCCAATTTGACCAGTACTTGCTCCCTCTTCTGCTGCTGCCAACATGGATTGGTTCAGCCAGTAGTCTTCAGCAGTCAGCATTCTTGGGATGAGAGGTGGGGCTTGAGTACTTATTTCCACATATCTCTCCACACTCCTGGAACTCCTATGAGTTTCTCTCATGCTCTGCTCTAGTGGCAGCATGGTGCAGGTCTACCACAATTTATCTATCATGGCTTATGTCCTGTAGGGACTGATAATCCAGCCTTCCCTTTGATGAAAACATCTGAAATGTCTTTTAAGAAGTTTCTCTTCCTTACTCCTACCAGTTTCACTATGGATGAAGAAGCATCTTTTTATTTTTATTATTATTATTATACTTTAAGTTCTACGGTACATGTGTACAAAGTGCAGGTTTGTTACATATGTATACATGTGCCATGTTGGTGTACTGCACCCATTAACTCGTCATTTACATTAGGTATATCTCCTAATGCTATCCCTCCCCACTCCACCCACCCCACAACAGGCCCCGGTGTGTGATGTCCCCCTTCCTGTGTCCAAGTGTTCTCATTGTTCAATTCCCACCTATGAGTGAGAACATGTGGTGTTTAGTTTTTTGTCCTTGTGATAGTTTGCTGAGAACGATGGTTTCCAGCTTCATCCATGTCCCTACGAAGGACATGAACTCATCATTTTTCATGGCTGCATGGTGTTCCATGGTGTATATGTGCCACATTTTCTTAATCCAGTCTATCATTGTTGGACATTTGGGTTGGTTCGAGGTCTTTGCTATTGTGAATAGTGCCACAATAAACATACGTGTGCATGTGTCTTTATAGCAGCATGATTTATAATCCTTTGGGTACATACCCAGTAATGGGATTGCTGGGTCAAATGGTATTTCTAGTTCTAGATCCTTGAGGAATCAGCACGCTGTCTTTCTGACTTCAAACTATACTACAAGGCTGCAGTAACCAAAACAGCATGGTACTGGTACCAAAACAGAGATATAGACCAATGGAACAGAACAGAGCCCTCAGAAATAATACCACACATCTACAACCATCTGATCTTTGACAAACCTGACAAAAACGAGAAATGAGGAAAGGATTCCCTATTTAACAAATGGTGCTGGGAAAACTGGCTAGCCATATGTAGAAAGCTGAAACTGGATCCCTTCCTTTCACCTTATACAAAAATTAATTCAAGATGGATTAAAGACTTAAGTGTTAGACCTAAAAGTTCATGTCTAAAACACCAAAAGCAATGGCAACAAAAGCCAAAATTGACAAATGGGATCTAATTAAACTCAAGAGCTTCTGCACAGCAAAAGAAACTACCATCAGAGTGAACAGGCAACCTACAGAATGGGAGAAAATTTTTGCAATCTGACAAAGGGCTAATATCCAGAATCTACAAAGAACTCAAACAAATTTACAAGAAAAAAACAACCCCATCAAATAGTGGGTGAAGGATATGAACAGACACTTCTGAAAAGAAGACCTTTATGCAGCCAACAGACACATGAAAAAATGCTCATCATCGCTGGCCATCAGAGAAATGCAAATCAAAACCACAATTAGATACCATCTCACACCAGTTAGAATGGCGATCATTAAGAAGTCAGGAAACAACAGGTGCTGGAGAGGATGTGGAGAAATAGGAACACTTTTACACTGTTGGTGGGACTGTAAACTGGTTCAACCATTGTGAGGAGCATCTTTAAGTAGGAAAACTTCACAGCACTCTGAATCTCTACAAAAGATCTTCAATTAATCAACATTCTTCTAATGAATCAGTAAGATATATAGGCTCTTGGGAGTTATGTTTGCTGGGCTGCTTTTATTGCCTCTCATTATGTCCTACAAGGTTGTGTCTGGCTCTGGCACTGCTCTAGAAAATGGGCACATCATTCCATCTATTATCTTCATGTTTGGTGCCTCAGCCACCAACCTGAAAATATAAATTTCCATTCAATACCTAGTTCCTATTTAAAGCTTAAAAATAGAAAAATGTTAATATACCAAGCAAATATTGAGGCTGAGAGGAAGTAGTAGAGGTGAAAATAAATGTTTAAGTGCACTAACATATTTCTTAATAGGGTTAAGAAAATAGATATTATCCAAATTTGCAAAACAAAAAATTGAGTTTTAAGCATATGATAATTACAAAAATGAAAAATCTGTTATCACTAGTTGCCTTTGGACAGTGACCTGGGGAATGGAAATTGAGAAGATTTTTATTTCAATAACTTCTTATACTGCCTCAAAGGCAGCTATTAAACCATTCAGATTCTCTCTCTCTCTCTCTCTCTCTGTGTGTGTGTGTGTGTGTGTGTGTGTGTGTGTGTGTTTATTTGGGACCATATATCTGTTCCCCCCCAATCAGATATTGGGTCAGTTTTCTTTAGATACAGAGAGTGGGCATGGACTGCACCTAAAGGATAATATTTTTATCTTAAATATACAAATATAGTACTTACATTCTTTATTTTATTAAACAATATTTTTTAAATTGTTATTGTTTGCCAGACAGTAAACAAATAAAGATTAAAATATATCCTCTACTCTTCAGGAAAACAAAGTATCAAAGTGTGAAATGTTTTAAACAAAATTTTCATGGTAAAGCTTAGACCAGTAGTTTCTTTAACATGTAGCAGTTATTTTATTGGGACTGATTAACACATAATTTAGATCTTTTCCAAGTTTCCCCTGGAATAATAAACATCTGATTTGAAATCATGAATTTTAACTAACTTGATTTAATTTTTTATTCCCATAAAATTGTATATTAACAGTTACCAATATGGATTCTAGACATATATACTTACATGTTAACCTTTTTTTTGAGACAGGGTCTCAGTCTGTTGCCCAGGCTGGAGTGCAGTGGCGCAATCTTGGCTCATTGTAGCCTTGACCTCTGGGGCTGAAGAGATCCTCACACTTCAGCCTCCCGAGTAGCTGGGACTACAGGCACACACCATTACACCGAGCTAATGGTATTTTGTTTTACTTTGTTTTGTATTTTTTGTTAGGATGAGGTCTTGCCATGTTGACCAGAGTGGTCTCGAACTCCTGGGCTCAAGTGATCTGCCCGCCTTGGCCTCCCAAAATGCTGGGATTATAGGCATGAGCCACTATGCCTGGCCACATGTTAACATTAAAAACAAAACAAAACAAAAAAAAACTCTTTGAAAATAGTCATGAATTTTTTTTAATATGCTCAAAACACTGATGTTCATCCATGGCTTATAAGAACTGATTTTGAAACTTTGAGGCTATAAATTGCCCTGACCCTTGCCTGTGTGTGATTTATCTAGCAAAACTCTAGCTATTGCTAAAATGCCTAAACTCCTCTTCTTCTAGGGGAAGGGGAAGTTACAGAATGATTTTATTACAATGTCTAATTAAAATACTACTGCCTTGTGCTCATTCTTGCCTTCAAAGAGACTGGATACGTACTTTATCCCACTACTCCCTTCAGGTATGCAGCCTGTATTTGGTCACTAATTCTAACTAGTTAACACTGCATTCAAGCCATGTTCTGATATTGATGTTCCTGACAACTCAAGGGAGAATTTCATGACTTTTTGTTTGTTTTTTCTTTTTTTTGCCCATGCCAACTCCAGTAAAAACTTCTGTGAACAGCCAACCCTGCTTTCATGATTGCCTTTTTTTCTCATCAGAATAGAAAAACAAGCAGCTTGCCATTTCAAGCACTGCACTACAATGTCAAATTATCTCTGCCAGCAGTGTGAAGATTTCCACACAGCACATTGTTTAAAAATATACCTCTTGCATAGAATCAGTACTTACTATTGTCTTTTGAACATACCGAAACATAGCAGAATATATACAAGAAGGAGCTATGCTGCACTCTTATAATTGTTAGGTAACTTTATTTAATAAGTGTTTGTTATATGTGCCAGGAATTCTTCCAGGAATTTGGGCTATATCTGTGCATAAAGAGACTAGATTCCTGTCTTTGTGCAGCTTTTATTTTACCAGGAGAAAACAGACAATAAAAATTTATATAATGAATGAGATATTAATATCTAATATTTAGAAATATGAGGGCCAGGTACGATGGATCATGCCTGTAATCCCAGCACTGAAGCAGGCAGATCACTTGAGCCCAGGAGTTTGAGACCAGCCTGGGCATCATGGTGAAAACCCATCTTTACCAAATAAATACAAAAATTAGCTAGGCATGGTGGCACGTGGCTGTGGTTACAGCTACTCGAGAGGCTGAGGTGGGAGGATCACTTGAGCCTGGGAGGCAGAGGTTGAAGTGAGCCATATTCAAGCCACTGCACTCCAGCCTGAGTGAGCCACTGCACTCCAGCCTGGGTGACAGAGTGAGACCATGTTTCAAAAAGAGAAAAAAAAAGAAAAATATGAGGATTTAAAAAAAATCCCTCAGGATATCCTCTGTGGGATGATGAAATCTGAGCAAAGACTTAAGAAAGTAAGTGATTTAATCACATGGATTTCTGGACTTATGCCAGAATAAATAAATAGCAAATGTTTAATCTTTTATGGTAGAACCAAAGAGGCCAGTGCAGCTGGCATATCTTGGTGGAGGTGACAAATAGAAAGCATAGAAAATGAAGTGAAAAATTTAAGGTGAATTTGGGGGAATAAGATTATAGGGCTTTATAGACTACATAAGACTGACTCTTACTCTGAGTTAAATGAGGAATCCTGGTAGGGTTTGAGTTGAAGGGAGACAAGATCTGATATAGGGTTCCTACCCCTACCCTTGCCTTGGATGGCTTCTGTAGAAGATTTTATAGTATTGAACTAAGAATAGAAGCAGAGAGGCCAGTTAGGTGGCTATTGCAGTCATCCCAGTAAGATACAGAAGATATTTATTTAGGGAGGTAGTGAGAAAGTGCTGGATTGCCAGATTCTGTGACAGACAACATTGTTGGGGTTGGGGGGAGGGAGATAAGAGTGCAGGATGACTCCAAAGATTTAGGGTTAAGCAACTGAAAGAATGGATGTGGGTGTAAGCAGATGTAGGAGGGGAAGAACAGTAGTCAATGTTCTATATATTCAGTTTGAGACTTTCAACAAACAGACAAGTAAAGATATTGAGTAAGCAGCCAATAATTGAGTTTGAAGTTCAAAAGGAAGATCACGCTAAAAATATAAATCGAGGATCACTGGCATGTACATGAATTTAAAATCAGGACACTGCATGAATTCACCAAGGAAAGAAGCTAATTCAAGAATAGAAAAGGACCAAACTGAACCTGGAAATCTTCCACCAATTCGACATTGAGAATATTGGAATAAAACAGCCAAGAAAAAGAAAGAGCACCTGTGAAGTAGAAGCAGTTGCAGCAGGAGATAGTGGTATCCTAAATGGTGAGTGAGGAAAGTATATAAAGGAAGTGAAGAGGGAGTGAGCACCTGTGTGAGTGTCACTAAGAGAACGAGTAAAATGAGGACATGAATTCATCATTGGATTTTACAGTATGGCAGTCACAGGTGAACTGGGCAAGAGCAGTTATATTGGAATGGTGAAAGAAAAGCCAGATGATAGGAGTCTAAGAGAAAAACAAGGCTCCAGGGATTGAAGAAATTGAAGGAATACAACTTTTCCAAGGAGTTTGACTGCAAAAGACAGTATTCCTTTAAGGTAAAAGCCATTCTCATTTTATAGATTAGAAAAATGACATGGATATAATGCATAAATAGAAACAGGATTCAAATTCAGACCTGCTTAATTCTTTCTGAAAGTCCAAAGAGTTGGAAAGTAATCAATCCATCCTTATTTTATGTGATTTTGTGAACATTAAGTGTTTTATTTATAAAAATTACATAGCCCCAAACCTGGCACATTATAGATGAAAAGTACATGTTAGATTTCTTCTTTTTTTGTTTCTTATTCCTCTTTACTGTCTGAAATATATAGGGTCATTGGTAAATGTAAAGCAAGTATTTATTGCATGTGGAACAAATGATAACATCAAACATATTATAGCCTACTAAAAGAACATATGAAATTTATAACTTATATTTGTTCCTATGAAAGAGGTCTATAATAAATGTGTCTTACTCTTTTTTTGCTCACATCTTACTCATTGCGAGATAAGAAATATTCTATCCTATCCTGCAGACTTGTATTAAAAATATGTAGATATAATTTTTAAACTTGTATTATTCTAAGAAATAGCTATGTACCTATATAAAGAAAGACTTTTTTAAATCTAAACCCTTTTACAACATATTTTTTACACTTTTTCATTTAATGACAGCAAAATGAATAGCATATAGTATAAGACTACTTACATTATTTAGATAATTAATTTAGCCACCAAACACAAGAAACAAATTGAATCTAAGTGTTTACAAAATGATATTTAGGTTTCAGCAATCACATGTGGATTTTAAATTCCAACTCCCTGGAAAAAAATTACTTTTAAAACTTATACATGGGATCAAGGTTTTAGATGTGTTCTGGAAATATTAACATTAACAATAGTAACTGGTCTTATTTTGCTAGAACTTAAAAAATAAATAGATTGTTTAGAGAGATTTAGATGTAGATGTAGGTACAGATAAGAAGAGAACATATTTTGATATTGGAAGAGGTTCTTAAAACTTTTAACTTTGCAAATCATTTGTATCCCAGAATAGCAAAAAAACATGGAAATAATCTTTTATTCAAAATTAGGTACTACCTTGGGAGTGAGAATTCGGAAAAAGCAATAAATATGTAAATTTTAAAACTGCTTATGGGAGTTGGGGATCTGGGAAGCTGGTTGAGCCACAATAATCAGGAAATAAATCTCTGAGGGGGGTCATATTTGATCTGAGAGTAAATGGACAAAAAGAGAGTTGTGCAGGTATTTTATGAAAGAGCTTCCCAAATATGGGTGAAGGCAAGTACAGAGGCCTTGAAAAATGACACCACATGATTCTGAATTTAATAATCAAAAAATAAAACTGTGTGATTGGAGCTCAGTAAGAAAGTTAGAAAATAATGGGAGAGACAGTTAAAGAGGTTGACCAGACAAATTATGCAGGATCTTGGATGCCAAGGTAAAGGGGGTGAATTCCATTGTAATGGGAATGGAATCCTTTAAAAAACTGTTAAGTAAGGGATTTAGGTGATTTGATGAAGGCTTTGACAAAACCACTCTGGCTGATATGTGTAGAATGGGCCACAGTGGCCAACAGGACTACTTACTAGAAAGCTGTTAAGGTAGTCCAGGTAGCTGACAATAGTGGTGTGGAATATAATCTTAGCAGAGAAGAGGAAAATACAAAAGCTGGATATAGAAGTTATAACAGATGAAATGAATACATATGGAAGTGTATGACGGGGAAGAGTTAAAGATAAGTTGAACTGACTTGGTGAACCTAAATTTGAACAGATTGAGTCTGAGATACTAGTAGTAAAACTGCAGAAATACACTGAAAATAGAAACTTAAAGCTTACTAGGAAGATCAGATCTAGCCAGCCATACAGTTTCAGTGTCATCATCCTAGAGGGCATCATTAAACTATTAAAAAGACTATACCCTTTGCCCGGTCACAAGAGTTTGGGGATTTTGGTGAAATACTTCCACTGTATAATGCAAAAGCCTGTAAACTTGAAGAAGTTAGGGTGGGAAAGGGAAAGGTTTCGAATCTAAAAGGAAGAGGTGAGGAAGAAGAGAGACTCAAGTCTCAAGTCTCTTCCTCCATTACCAGTGAATGCTATTGATACAGGAGCTAAAAATGAAATTATTTAGGTATATAGGGTAAAGGAGTCCTCAGCAAGGCTTCCCTTTCAACAAAAAGCAACCCCTAAGTCATTTCCTTTCTAAGAAAGAGCAGCCTGTAAAATTTAGCTGCAAACATAGATAAGCAAGCTGGAAGCTTGCATGGGTAAACGTCAGTGCTGTGCCAATAGAAAAGGGCTACCTGGAAGCCAAGTATGTTCAACATGGAGACTCCATCTTCCCTTCCTTTGTCACCACTCGTACAGTAAAAAAGCAGGCAACATGGTACCAGCCAGGTGGAGAACCCATCTGTATAATAAAAGATTGGGGTGGGGCATCCACCTTCTTTGGGTGCTATACAAATGGCACATCTAGTCCTAACCAGTTTTTCGTGCACTATGCAGATGACACACCTGGTCCAACTAATCCCTTGTGCCCTATGTAAATTAGACACAGCCTCCTCAAGCTCATCTATAAAACCTCCTGCACTTCATGGTGGACCAGAAGAGCCGCTCGGGATCTCCTCTTCCTGCGAGAGAGAGCTTTTCTCTTTCTTTCGCCTATTAAACCTCCCCCTCTTAACCTCACTCCTTGTGTGTCCAAGTCCTTGATTTCATTGGTGTGGGAAAATGAATCTCGGGTATTACTCCAGACCAAAGACGCTGCCTCTTCACCACCCTCTTTTCTGGGAAGAACCAGGAATAACATTATGTTCTTGTAATATTAGTGATATAAGGTAAATAAAGTATATTTATAGATACTAGCTATTTATAGATGAACATAAAACTGTGCATTCTGTCCTCAATGAGTTATAATTCAATTGTAAAACAAAAACAATAGCCTTCTTGATTCTATTTAATTATTCACCAAAGCATAATATTTTAGTGGAAAGTTGTACAAATGAATTCGGAGTGGGATTTTCACTGTCTCACTACATAATCTTTCTTAGCAAGTTTCCTTCACTGCCTCTCTCCGTAACTGATTCTTTTCTCTCCATCCACCTCCCTAACCCTAGTGTATAGATGATCATCATCTTTCATTGTTTTCTCTGTTATATTTCTGCCTCCTTATTGTAGATAACTGCAGACTTTTTTGCTTCTTTAAATTTTTCAATCTATATTTTATAAAGATCAATCCATCAAAAGACTGGCAGAAAAGCAGATCAAACAAATAATCTTCCATAGAATGTATAATATGTGTGTGTGTATGTGTGTGTGTGTGAGTGTGTGTGTTGTTGGGAAGAGGAGGGCTGTAAATACTTCTACACTAATATTTTTTGTCTCTGAGATATGAGCTATCTTTTTTTTTTTTTTTTTTGGAGACGGAGTCTCGCTCTGTCGCCCAGGCCGGACTGTGGACTGCAGTGGCGCAATCTCGGCTCACTGCAAGCTCCGCTTCCCGGGTTCACGCCATTCTCCTGCCTCAGCCTCCCGAGTAGCTGGGACTACAGGCGCCCGCCACCGCGCCCGGCTAGTTTTTTGTATTTTTAGTAGAGACGGGGTTTCACCTTGTTAGCCAGGATGGTCTCAATCTCCTGACCTCATGATCCACCCGCCTCGGCCTCCCAAAGTGGATATGAGCTATCTTTGAGTTAATTTTTATTATATTAAAAATGTGAAGAATCTTCTCACAACAGACACGTTCTCTGAAATCAGAAAACAGTTAAATTTTCTATTTGAAGTGGCTAACATTCTAAATCTTAAGTACTCCTAAACTTAGCCAATAATCAGAAACTCACAATCTTTCAAAAAAGCAGCATATAAAAACAATTAATTTGTCTCCATTTTAATTAAATGAAGCAATTTAACCAACTCAGCTTTTAAATTTAATCATAATTAATCTAAATAGGTACAGAATGCTTTACTGCAGTGGCTCAATAAGAGACTGTAGGCAGCTGGCAGGAACGTTTCAACTCTATAGGTTGCTTCATTTATTCAGAAAGTGATAACAGGGCAGAAAATCATTAAGTTTTTTGCTGAGATGACAGTGCTTTTTTCCAAGTTTTTCTCTGGATATACTCTAAAGGACATAAACCTCCGTCACATTTATAGTCTATTTACAAGAGTTCTTAGACCTGACATCAAAATCACGTGTCATAAAAAAAAATTGAACCTCATCAAATTAAAATTTGTATTCTTCAAAAGACCTTTGAAAGGATGACATGATAATTTAAACTATAAAGATTTCTGTATCAAAAAATTTCATATATGCCACTAAACTGTATAATTTAATGCAATCTTATATAGAATATACAGCAGTCCAATATAATTGTGCCGTTTCTAAAACAATTTGAAATAAAATATGATGAGCATTCCAGTTGTTTTCTTTCTTTTTTTTTTTTTTTTTTTTGAGACATGATCTTGCCGTGTTGGCCAAGATGGTCGATAACTCCTGGCCTCAAGCAATCCACCTGCCTCAGCCTCCCAAAGTGTTGGATTTATAGACATGAGATACTGCAGTTTGCCCATTCTGTTTTCATCAGAATAATTGTCTCTGATGAATTTGTACAGTCTGTTACATATTACTGAAAGCCGAAGTCTTCATGTCAGTCGCCAAAGTTATTTAATCCCCTACCTCCAAAATAGCAATTACTTTTCTACAAAAGCTATATTGACATGAAGATGAAGAAAGGTTTGTCATGTGCAGATTACTTATTGGTAATTTGGACAAATAAGAGAAATACACAAAGAGAATGATATATAGAGACAGAGATTGAGAGATAGAGATGCAAGGACACCTTCTTATAGATATAACATAAGATCTGAATAAGAGTAAATTAGCTAGCAGTGTGACTGAAAAAGAGGTGATAGATATGAGAAAAGTATAAGAATTCTTATTCTTTATACACTATTTTGTTTAAAAGTAGCACAAATGCAAAACTTTTGATAATACGTTTCCAATCTGTAAGGCAGGTTACAAAAATAGAACAAAAGTTAAAGTATAATAGTAGAAGACTATGTTTGTAAATTTGAACACAATCAACTACAAGTAAAATTATCCAAGCAACATAATTCTTTGTGATTATGTGTTTTAAAATATAAAAGAGAATTTATGTCTAATGAATATTCCAAATTACTACATATATTTTCAAAGATGTGGATGATTTAACACTGGGATTAGTAGAATAGTTTTTAAATATCTACATTTTTCTTTAAAATATAAGCAAACTTAACATTAACTCATGATAGACCTTTGAATTTACTTCCACTAAAAAAATGAATTACCTATAATTGCAGATTTCCACAACTAATTTTGGAATCCATAGGCAAAAAACAAAAAAAGATTTAAAACTACACTTTACAAAAATAGATTCAAAGACTAAAAATTTATCCTAGACTTATACGTGAAACATAAAATTAGAAAATATCTGAAAAACATACGAGAAAATCTTCAAGAACTAATACTAAGAAAAAATTTTTAAACTTGATATCAAAGTATGAGAAAAAAAATGATAAACTGTACCTCATCAAAATTAAAAAATTAGCCCTACATAAGACCCGGTGGAGAGGATAAAAAGACAAGCTGTGGACTGGGAAAAAAATCTTTGCAAACCACATATCAAACAGAAGACATATCTAGAGTACATAAGAAACTCAATAAAGTAACTTATTAGAAAAAGGGCAATAGATGTAAACATATTTCACTGACTAGGACATTCTCGTGGCAATTAGGTATATCAAAATATATTCAACATCATTAGTCATTAGGGACATGGAATTCAAACCTCTTGACTGTGGTGCTGATCACATGAATTTACACATATGATAAAATTGTGCAGAGCTAAATACATATACACATACATATGAACAAATGCACATATACAAGTTCATGTAAAACTGGTAAAATCTAGATAATGTAGATGAATTACATCAATCTCAATTTCTTGGTCGTGATATCGTATTATATCTTTGTAAGATGTTACCATTAGGAGAAACCAGGTGAAAGGTACATAGAGTCTCTCTTTCAACTGCATATGAATTTACAATTGTCTCAAGTAAAATGTTTTTAAAATTCAGAGATAATTTTAAAAATATATGTATATATTTTGAGGTTTCTTTAATCACTGTAACTGGTGATCATAAAAACAATGCTCAGGTTTGCTGCTTTATGATGAAAACAATTAGAAGCGAGCTTTTCATATTACATAATTAACAAAGCACATTACTTTGCTAGAATTTCATATTGAGAAAATAATATTTATAAAGTAGATTACTTTGCATATCAAGATATTCTTTAAACTCATAAGAAGTCAGATGAAAGTGAAGGACAAAATATATGAGCCAAAGTACATCTTTCTGCTCCAAAAGTAATAGATTTTTACTTAAGAAGGGTTTATACTTCCAAGGAGATAGTAATTGCTAATGGACACATACTTTTCTCCTTGACAGGCCTTTGCATACTAGTAGTTTCCTATATCATTATCTGTACTAAAAACATATGGCTCCCTCAAGCTTAGAAGATAAGCAGTTAGAAGAACTTTTGGTAAAGTATTTCTGTATTTTGGTAAAATAGAGAATTTCTTAGTGAGTAGATGTTTTGCCATAGACCAGCAGATTAGGTTTATTTATACGAGATAGTAAATATTAATTTGTAATTTAAAATGTTTAGTATTTATGTAATTATATCATTTTTAAATCCGTAGGCAAAAGTAAATTGATATTAATTTTAGACATATTGAATAAAAACATATTGCCTGGCTAGTTAGAAATATGGTTCTGAAACTCAGAAGAAAGTTGGTGCCAATAGAAGTCATCAGTATGACTTGCCAATAGAAGTCTCAGAACATTATGAGATCTGGTTAATTAGACCTTCCTATATAAAACACAAGAACTGGTGAAGAATAGGCCCTTATATAGTGTGTATTAGTCCATTCTCATGTTGCTATAAAGAAGTGCCTGAGACTGGGTAATTTATAAAGGAAAAAGGTTTAATTGACTCACAGTTCCACATGGCTGTGGGAGCCTCAGGAAACTTATAATCATGGTGGAAGGGGAAGCAGGCAACTTCTTCACAAAGTGGCAGGAGAAAGAAATGTGTGTAGCAAAGGGGGAAGAGCCCCTTATAAAACCATCAGATCTCGTAAGAACTTACCCCCTATCACAAGAAGAGCATGGGGGTAACTGCCCCCATGATTAAGTTACCCCCCACCGTGTCCCTCCCAGGACATGTGGGGATTATGGGAACTACAATTCAAGATGAGATTTGGGTGGGGACACAGCCAAACCATATCATAGTGGCTACAATCAAAAGGCTAAAAAGAAAAGTGTGGCTGCGGTGTTTAACAAACACTTGAAAATTTAAATTAAAAGGGAAAGTCAAAGGTTGAGTGTGTAAAAAATAAATGTTGTTTGCCACTAATTGTACTTTCTGTCTTTCTATTCATTATCTTACTGAGTGTACACGTGGAGCCTGAAATACTGACAATATAAAGTAAGGCTGATTCAGTTTTAAAAATCTTTTCTCCTTTATTATTATGTACTTATTTGATTAATACCATGAAGATAAGTTTTAATTTAAGAAGAAAAAAAAGGTTGTGACTATGAAAAAAGTCTATAGCATATCATTAGTTATAGCATTTCAATAGTGCCATTAAAACTTTATTTTATTTTAAATGGTTTTTAGCTCCAACCATTTGATTTCAAGCTAGATTTCATTAGTTCATTTTTGTTTCAATTTTGAGGGTAATTCGGGAAACTGCTAAAAGTTATGGGATCTTTCCAAAGGGATGTGGCTAAGTGCATAAAGTATTTACACACTGTTATCTACAACTGAACAACAGTGTTATAGACTAACCATTAGATGCTATTGATTAAACTCTATTAACCATTTCATGAGCATTGTCTTTATCACATAAAGGGATCTTCATATTACATATATAAGGGCATAATAAGTCTTATTGTTCTTACAAGTTTTAAAGTAGGTGTATATGAGAAAAATGGTATATAACAAAATTTACCCTAGAATCTTCCTCAAATAACTGTAATTAATAAAATAGCCACATACAGCAATGTGAATTATTATATTACTCTGAGCACTGCAAAATATATAATTCCACTGAGAAATTATATTCAAAAATTAAATTATTCCAGGGTTTGACTACTTGGAACTTTCAGTAGTTCTCTGAATTGGCACTGATTTATCTAGAATTTATTGTGTGATTTGATTAGGTTTAAAGGCATTAATGACTCTATTTGCATTGATAAAGGAGATACTGCTAATTCATTACAAGTAGTGGCAACAGATACTTAAATTATCACCCATAGGCATTTCTAATTAAGTGCTTATAGAAGGTAAGGCTTTGAGGGATCAGGTAGAATACTTAGTAAAAAATGAGTGTAACAGGCTGATTGGTTGCTTCTAAGTACACTGAAGAACTTGGGGGAAAGAAAATCATATGGTCAGGGCTTTAAATCCTCTGCTTGAATTTCAAGTGAGTGACCAGAAAGTTTTCTCTACCACCCTAAAATCAACACATTTTCTGTAGTCCCAGGATCAAGATTTTAGAAAATCAAACTTAAAGCCTAATGCTACAGATGGCTGAACTTTCATGCAAAATTTACCTCCCAACCTCCTAGCATCTCTGATAAAATTAGGGCATTGATTGGTGTATTAGTCTGTTCTCATGCTGCAGTGAAGAAATACATGAGATTAGGTAATTTATAAAGAAAAGAGGTTTGATTGATTCACAGTTCCACATAGCTGGAAAGGGCTAAGGAAACTTACAATTGTAGCAGAAGGCTAAGGGAAAGAAAGGAACCTTCTTCACAGGGCAGTAGGAAAAAGAAGTGTGGAGGAAAGAGGGGAAAATCCCCTTATAAAACCATCAGATCTCATGAGAACTCATTCACTCTCATGAAAATAGCATGGGGGTAACCGCCCCCATGATTCAATTACCTCCCATGGGGTCCCTCCTATGACACATGGGGATTATGGGAACTAAAATTCAAGATGAGATTTGGGTGAGGACAAAGCTAAACCATATCAACTGGTAAGGTAATGGAGCTTGAAAATGGAGATAAAGGGCATATTGACAAAGTATTTGTTTGGTGCAAAAGTAAATGCAGTTTTGGCCATTACATTAAGTGGCAAAAACCATAATTACTTTTGCACAAACTAATATTAAACTGGGGAACTTGTATCCCAGGGGACTTCAGTGGAAACTCTCAAAAGCAATTCAATGAGAATTAAATTTATGAGAGGAGTCCTGGCATCCTTAATGAGGCCTTTGGCAGCTATTCTCCATAGGCCAAGATGGACAATGGGAACATATCTCCTCATATAAATTTGGGCCATCTCTGCCAGCCATGAAAGGAAAAAAAAACACAGAATGGGTGTTGTCTTAGGCTGCTACGACCAAGCTCATAAACCAAGCTCATAAACAAGAGAATTTTATTTCTCACAGTTTTGGGGGCTGAAAGTCCAAGATCAAGGTGCCAGTATGGTGAAAATTTGATGAGAGCCCTTGGCATGGTGTGGCTGTATACCCACCTAAATCTCGTCATGAATTGTAATCCCCATAATTCCCATGAGTTGAGGGAGGGACCCAGAGGGAAGTGATTAGATTAAAGGGGCAATTTCCCTCATGCTGTTCTTGTGATAGTGAGTGAATTCTCAGGAGATTTTATGGTTTTATAAATGGTAGTTTCTCCTGCACTCACATGCGCGCCCTCTCTCTCTCCTGTCACCTTGTGAAGGTGCTGCTTTGCTTCCTGTTCAATTTCTGCCATTATTATAAGTTTCCTGAGGCCTCCTCAGCCATGTGGAACTGTGAATCAATTAAACCTCTTTCCTTTATAAATTACCCAGTCTCAGGTATTTCTTTACAGCAGTGTGAAAATGGACTAATGTAACCTGCTTCTGGATCGCAGACTGTCGTCTTCTCATTGTGTCCTTACGTGATGGAAAGAGGACTAGAAAGCTCTCTAGGGTCTCTTTTGTAAGGGCATGCATTTCACTCTTTAAGCGTCTACCCTCATGACCTAATCACTCTCAAAGGTCCTACCTCCTAATACCATTACCTTGGGAGTTAGGACTTCAACATATGAGTTTGGGGAGACACAAACATTCTGTTCATTACACTAGTGTAAAAAGGTAGTTACGAATACCAGCTACTATCACATTATCATTTGCAAAATGAGGACTAGTAGAGTTTGACTGTTTTCCTTTTAATTTATAGAGTTTTGTGTTTGTATCTATTAACTAGTTTTATTTCTTACCCATCTTCCATCCCCCTACATTTAACATAACCTGTGTTCATAATAATAGACCTTATATTTCAGTATGTAAGTTATAAGATATCAAAGGAAGGAGTCTGACACAGTTAAAATGAGGAAGTTATATTAACCAAAGACTAATAAAAAAATTTATATTCTCTTTTAATGACAAGGTTAGCATGTTTTCAAATGTGTAAGGTAAAGATGTATCCCATTAGGCAAAACAATGAATACATTATTATCATTATTTAGAAGTTATTCTGGTTGAGCAGGGTGCAGTGTCTCATGCCTGTAGTCCTGGCAATTAGGGAGGCTTGAGGCGGACGGATTGCCTGAGCTCAGGAGTTCAAGACCACCCTGGGCAACATGGTGAAACCCTGTCTCCACTAAAATACAAAAAAATTAGCCGGGCGTGGAGATGTACACCTGTAGTTCCAGCTACTATGGAGGCTGAAGCAGAAGAATCACTTGAACCCAGGAGGCAGAGGTTGCAGTGAGCCGAGATGGCGCCGGCACCATTGCACTCCAGTCTGGGTAACAGAGTGAGACTCTGTCACACACAAAAAAATAATAATTGTTATAATAATATAAATAAAAGTTATTCTTGTTAAGAGAGGTCGGAATGGATGCTAAATTGACAAAGGATAGAGGACGGCTTTGTACTGCCATAACTTAAACTGAAACTACATTTCCCAGAATTATTTCCATATATGGTTCATAACATAAATTTGTTTTGTGAGATTTAGACTTAGCAGCCATATTTTTATCTTCTGAAAGTTGATGCAGGTTAACCAGGTACTGTGGCTGTTCACATGAATTATTGTTGGTCTGCTAGCAAACTATTGCTGAGGAGTAGCACCAGACCTATAACTCCTCTAGATCCTGCCAAATCTACCTCTTCGGCTTTTCTGAGTCTTCACTTAAGCACATGTGCAGCTCTTTGGGGATGTACACTAACTTCCCCATGCCCCCACGGGGTTCACATCATTCTCACAGATTTCAGTTTTGTCACATTCTTGTTCACATCCAGTTTTCCTTTCTCACTGCTGAATTGGCTGACCTGTAGCAAATTTGGCTAAATAATTGACACAGAAACACTGTCTGTGCACAGTCTCTTCCTCCAACGTCACAACTGCCCAAGATCTGATCGCAATACTGTCTGAATCATTAATAGTGCCTCTCTTTTTCCTTAATGAACCCTCAATGAGAAAGAGAGAGAGAGAGAATATAATGATGGTGAAAAAAGCTGTATCAGAAAATGGTATTTTAATACTGCATTGCTCTGTGTTACCGGAAATAATATAACTTATTCCACAATTTGGGTACAGGAGCAAGCAAACAAAAAACAAAAATTAGAAAGGCAAAAATAAATAAATAATGAAAATAAAACAGGTCAAACATTTTTCTAGGGTCCCTTTGTTGAACAATTAAAATACAAAAATGCCCTCCCTCAAAGCATCCAGTTTAACAACAACAAAAAAAAACCCTCCATTACTCATTATTTAAATGGTATATTAAAGAATGTTGTCCTAGAGTTATAAATATCTGAAATGATTTAGTCTATATATTTCTGCCTTAATAAAGTACATAGCAGCTTTCCTTAAAAAAAATGGATTAGAAAGCAAATTTAAATAATTACTGTATTGCTATACCTTTAACGATATCCTTTTTGGTACATGCAATAGCAATTATTATTTGTGTAATGCTTGTCTTGTGCCAAGAACTACACTAATTACTTTATGTTTATTAATTTTGTCTTCATAGTACTTTATAAAATAGGTGCTATTTTTATACCAGTTTACAAACGGAGAAAGTAAAGCCCAAGGAGGTTAATTTGCCTGAGGAAATATACCTAGTAAATAAGAGAACCAGAAATTGAACTTAGGTTTTCTGATCTCAGAGTGCATATGCTTACTTGTTTGATAGCTATTTTTGAAATTCTCATTAAAAATCATTTGAAAAATATCAAAATATGAATCAACTCTAGCAAAATATTGGAGTCATTATTCTAATCTGTGGAATTGTCTTTTATCATTAGATTACCTAAGGAGATGATGAGGAGGAGATGGCAAGAGGAGTAAGATGAAGAAGGGCTATATGTTTACATATATGTAGTATAAACACAAATATATAAACCCAAACCTATACACACATATGTGTGTTATATGTGTGTATATGTGTATATGTATAAAACGAATAGAATTACATAGTTGATAATAAAACATGAAAGCACTTCAAAGTGTTTTCATTAATTTTAGATGTTTCTTCTATCTGTAACCCTATTCCTAAATGCATAGTTATCCTGCTATATCTTGTTGTTCCATTAATAAATATTGTCTATCAATTTCCTACCACAGAAAATGAAGTTTTAGACCACTCATGCCGCATCAAACAAAAACATTTTCCCTTATCACATTCTTTCAATAAAGTTTAATTAGAGTTATCTAGTAAATATTATGGTTTGCACTATCATAATCATGTAAATATTGGTTACATCTGATTTCTATAATGTTCTGAAATGATGTAAATTGATAGGGATTAAATGTTTATGTTGTCCAGAGAGAGCAATTAAAATTTGGGGGCATACTTCCTTTTTTAATTTCTATCATCAAATATTCTCTGAATTTTAATACTGTAATATAGGCAATGAAGTTTAATGTGTGTATGTATGTATATATATGTGTGTATACTGTATATACATACATATATATACAAAAACTATACACATACATATACAAAAACTATAACATATAAAAATATACAAAAACTATATATACATATATACTATATAACTGTATATATATACAAAAACTATACTATATATTTTATATAAATAGTATGTATACTATATATTTATATATAGTATATTTTATATATAGTATATATACTATATATATATTTATACAACAATGTTGTATATTTTTATACAACAACAATGTTGTTGTTTCTAGGCAGTATTTTTATCTCTGAGCTCAACAGAGCAAATATCACCATAATATAAACATGTTTTTTGTCAGAGTTGGGAGTTGGTAGTTATAGACAGTCACTTAGTGCTGCACAGTAGTGAAGATCTGTGTCTTACTTGCCCTTCCACAAGTAAGACAAATATATATATATATATTTTATATATATAGCGAGGGAAGAGAGAGACCCTCTCATATTGTTTTATACTCAGTTCCTATTTTAAAAAAAAACAAGGAATTAAAACCAAAGACAGGCAGTCCAGCGCCAGGCCTGAAACCAGGCCTGGGCCTGCCTGGCCTAAACCCAGTAGTTAAAAATCAACTCATAACTTAGAAACCGATGTTATTCATAGATTCCAGACATTGTACAGAAGAACGCTGTGAAACTCCCTGCCCTGTTCTCTTTCTCTCTGACCACCGGTGCATGCAGCCCCTGTCACATACCCCTTGCTTACTCAAACCAATCACGACCCTTTCATGTGAAATCCTTAGACTTGTGAGCCCTTAAAAGGGACAGGAATTGCTCACTTGGGGAGCTCAGATTTTAAGGCAGTAACTTGCCAGTGCTCCCAGCTGAATAAAGCCCTTCCTTCTACAACTTGGTTTCTGAGAGGTTTTGTCTGCGGCTCATCCTGCTACAATAGTATATATACTATATATATAGTATATATATATATTAGTATATATAGAGTTTATATATATAAAAAGAGTATATATTTTGTACATATAGTACATATGTACTATATATAGTATATAGTATATAAGTATATATTTATACTATATATACATATACAGTATATATACATATAGTATATTTGTATATATACACATATATACATATATGCTATATATGTATATATACACACAAATGTGTATATATACACAATATTTGTATATATATAACAAATATATACACAAATATATAGTATGCATATATATAGTATACACACATATATACATACATACACACATTAAACTTCGTTACCTATACTAGAGTATTAAAATGCAGAGAATATTTAATGTATAATATATAATATAATGTATAATATATAATGTTATATATAGTATATATAGAATATATATATATATACACACATATATATGTATGTATTTTCAATTTGAGGCATCCCTCCTGCCACCATGCCTCTGTCTCCTCCAATCTCAGTAGCTTTATCACTACCATGGAAATTATTTTCCTCATGAGGCTGAGATTTCTTTCTCCTTTCTCCTACATGGGATGCCTGTTTCATAGATCCTATTGTCTCTTTCTTTCTTTCTTTAAGCCTCTCAATATCTCATCTTGCAGGAGCATGGTCTTCAGCAGCATCATGATAATGGTCCCACGTGAGGTAAAAACTATTGTAGATATACCAAAAATTCCTAATTTGTCACAGAATTCTGAATCGAAAATCATTGTAAGAATTTTTAGACCAATCCTTCTACATTTCCGCTTTGCTTCTCAGAAAGCTCATAACATTCTTCTGTTCATCCTTTGTATTTGACTTTGCTTTATTTATTTAATAATATCTTTGTTCTCTTTCTGGAAACTTTTCAATTTTTTATCTTTAGATCTTAAAATATCAGGATGAGATACCTTGGTGATATAGGTTTTCATTTATTGTGCTGGACTCTCTCTGGATATTTTCAATCTGAAAATGCAAGTACTTACTACCAGGGAATTTTCTTGTATTATTTCTTCCATAATTGCCTATCCTCTGTTTGTATGTTAGTTTGTTTGTTTTGTTGTGACTTTTTGGAATTCTCTAATCTCTACTCATTTTCCAATTCCTAAGTGGGATGTAACATCTCCTAAACTAAGTCTGTTGTTTTCTTTTTTATACTCTCCCGTCTTCCATCATGTCATATCCTCATTGTAATTTCTGCAATTTTCTTACTTTATTGTATAATATATGCTGTATATATACACACACTTATACATAACCCTCCATATTTATCATTTATTTTGTTTCCCACATTTACTCCATATCTCCTGAGTTCTTTTCTTCTGCTGTTTATTTAGTGTTCCAACTTTTATGTTAAGTGTTGTTCCCTATGTCTGAATCTGGGATATTATTTATATTTAGTGGTGAGACATTTGAAAGCTGATTGGTACATGACAACTGGCATGCTTTAGTTGCTAATGGTAAAATAATAAGTTGATCTCTGCATTTGAAGTCCCTCAACATTCAGTGAATATTTTCTTTTCAGCATGTCACTTACTTTTACTTAATGTTGTTGTTTCTAGGCAGTATTTTTATCTCTGAGCTCAACAGAGCAAATATCACCATAATATAAACATTTTTTTGTCAGAGTTGGGAGTTGGTAGGTATAGGCAGTTACTTAGTGCTGCACAGTAGTGAAGATCTGTGTCTTACTTGCCCTTCCACAATATGTAACTGTATTAGGCCATTCTTGTATTGCTGTAAAGAAATATCTCAGACCGAATAATTTATTTAAAACAGAGGTTTAATTGGCTCACGGTTCTACAGGCTTTACAGAAAGAATGGTGCCAACATCTTCTCAGCTTCTGGGGAGGCTTCAGGAAGCTTCCAATCATGGCAGAAGAAAAGAAGGGAGCAGGCGTGTCACCTGGTGAAAGCAGGAGCAGGAGGGAGTGGGGGTGAGGTGTCACACACTTTTAAATGACTAGATCTTAGGAGAAGTCATTCACTATTGCAAGGACATTACCAAGAGGATAGTGCTAAACCATTCATAAGATATTCACCCAAATGATCCATCACCTCCAGGAAGGTCCCACCTCCAACATTGGAGATTACATTCCAACATGAGATTTTGGTGGGGACAACATCCAAACTATATCAGTAACCTACTCATCTGACTCCACTTCAGGAAAACACATCAGTCCCTTCAAAAGTTCCTAGTGCCTTCAATTCCTGAGCTTCTTCAGAGTTCTATTCTGCAAGCATAACATCAGTTTTCTGTGATTTATTGTATCATTTAGTATTTTCCATACACTTCCTGTTTGACTTTTCTGCTATGTTCTTTTCTCCTATTGTTCTTTCGAGAACTGCTTTTTGAAATTATTTTATTTGTACTATTAAAATAATTTTGTTGAGAGAGAAGACATAGCTATGTGCAATACTTAGTCATGTTAACAAGAATTTTTTTAATTTTAAACTTAGCAGTCAATTTATATTGTCTATATAGTTTAATTGATGTGATTTGTTATAAGAATAATTATAAATTAGAAATCCAAGCCAGAAAATTTCAACAAGAATCTTGGTTTTAATTTGACTTGATTAAATTATGATGTCAATTTATTATCTCTTGTTACCAAACAATTTACTTAACTAAGGTAATCATATTTTACTGAGTATAGAATTTTATTATAAGAAAAAGACAACCTAAATGACTGAGATGGGAAACACTATGCAAATTAAACTTAGTTTCCATGATAATACAGAGATTGTTTCTATTTTAAGAAACCACATAAAAGCGTAACACAAAGTCCATAATTTTTGTAAATAGCATTAATAATTAAGGTCTATTAATCATTAAATTTAGAGATAATATAATAAAGCACTAGGAGCAAATTCCAGCTTGGGAAATAAATGATTTGGAATCGGTTGAAGGAATATTACCTAGGATCCTGTCTAGTATTTAGAATTTGATTTCTGTTTTTGAGGTAGGAGTAAGAACATGGAAGTCTCGGCACATATTTCTGAACCCTTTTCTCTTCTAATTTCTTAACAGGGTAACTCAGCCATACAAATTATCTAATTTCCTTTAGCCTACTAAAAGTATCCTCCCACGTATCTTTCATTTCTCATCAATTCTTCACTGCCCAACAGACTCTGACAGCTTGATCTTCACAGGTGTTGAGGGTTCTTACACCAACTAACCTGAGCAAAAAAAGGAAGGCTTCAAACTTCACATTTCCTGTGTGACATAGAAAAGACCATTCTAAAGAAATATAACCACATTAAACAAATACAACTAAAGAAAACTTTAAACAAAATAAATGTGAACCCTTGAGGATATGCAATTAGAGTAATTTCCAAGAGAGTACTGGAGGGGCAAATAGACACCGTAGGGGCACAATGGTCATTAGGCAAATAGGCAGCTCACTCTCAGGGATAAATGATGAAGCTGAGGCTCAGAACTCTGTGGGTGTGTAAATGACTAAACCTATTCCCAAGAATGGTAGACATTGTGATGGACAAAAGAGAAGCAGATTCATTTAGACTCCTTTAAGTAATTTAGAGTAAGTCTAATGAAACAGAAAGACTCGAGTCTTCATGAGACTATCCCTATAGGGACAGACACAGCTCCAGATAACACAGGTATAGCTGTAAAACAAGTAGAAGAATGAACAGTACTTGTTGAATGATTAAAAATTATGCATACTGTCATAACTCCATAACAAATGAAAGCTAGCTTGGGTCAATGTTAAACTTCAATATATACTTCTAAATTATCTCTATCAAATGCTAAAATGTGTTAATATTATTTACAATAAAACCAGAAAAATAAGTATACTTCTGGTACTATATATAATGAAGATCCAATGTCTAATATTGGAATAATAAAAGGGAGTTTCCCCGTATAATGTTTATGGTATTTAATTAGTATTCTATAATTTTGCATGAGATGAAATGGTTATGAGTTAAAGACTATGAAAGCAAGTGACGAAGAAAAAGAAAAATTTTGTGAGAGCACCAGTACAATCTCTGAAGATGGACATTACAGCAAGTGTTAAGTATATCACTCAGCTTTTTTAAACTCTCAAGAATATCAGGCCTGCATTTTGGGGACATTTGAAAGACTGAAAGTCTGTTTTTTCCTGGCTTTGACAATTTATAAACTCCAGAATTATGTGCAATGGCTGTGCATGATCAAAAGGCAGACACTACAAATGAGGTAGTTAAGTAAGAGAATGCTCCAGATAAAGCCAGGAAAATGTAAGAAATATAAACAATGACAACAAAAGTTACAGACACTCTCAGTTCAATAGTAGACAACATTTTGGTGTCTGGACTAATTAGTCAACGAGAGTCAATGCTGAGCAACAGCAATCAGCAGCTCATAAGACAAACATGGAACTTAGGCATTATAGCCGTAAGTTAATCCCCAGTAATATTTCTCTTAATTACACCGAGTTTGCATGTAGTGACATGATATTTTCAAAAGTTGAAAATGGTAAGTTAAAAACTAAAGTGGAAAAAAATCTATAGTTTTTGAAGAAGTCACTTTGCAAATAACATTTCAAATTAAAATATTAATACAAGAGAAAAATCTCTACTGCACACAACAGGATCAAATAAATAAGTATACACCTAGGCTACTTTTTGCACAGAATTATGCAGTAAAAATACATTTGACAAGATATTTCAATACTTCATTCTGTCTCCAGGGTAGTAGCAACTGTTCTTATCATTTTCCTGATAACAATAATAGATCTCAACATATATCCCTTTGCCATGTACTATTAGCAATCATTTAGAACAGCAGCCTCTTCAGTTGAGTAGGTAAGACGCAGCAGGATTTAGAGTGAGTAGCCAATAATCAGCAGGTTTATTGGATCTGCCAGCATGTAGATTACTTTAAAACTTGAACCTGCTGGGATTTTGTTTTCTGAAGAGCCTCTTTGTATTTTTGGTGTTGCTTTTGCTATATTGTTGTAGTAGTGAATTCCACAGAAGCACACACACACACTATCAAGAAATTCTGAGACCTAGATCAGAGGGAGTTAATTACTCACCAGTAGTGGTCATTATCAGTGAGCTTCCCTTTAACACTGGGGAAATAAGGATTGACAGTTGTAATTATGTGGTTTCAAGAAAACCAATTTTGTGAGTACATTTTCAGTATCTCCACTTATATGCATTTATTCATTGCCTCAAAGTTGGTTGGCTTAAGAAAAAACATTTTCAAATACGACAGAGTAATAAATTAAGTTGTTGACACTGGAGAATAATGGGAAAAAAGGAACAATTAACTGAATGCTTTTTCTGTCTCCTAAACTTTTTAAACAATAGTAAGCCTGGCTTTAAAATAGGATTTTGTTATTATGATAGCTAATAGCCATAAATTATTGAGGTTTACTCTGTGCTAGACACTGTGCAAGAAAATAGCATACATTACTTCTAATCCTCATAACAATCTATTAAGATAGTTACATTTTCCACATTTTTGAGCTGGGAAAAAATAAGTCTAATTTAAATAAGTGTCCCATAGGACAGCTAGTTAGCATTCAACCAGTTCCTAAAAACATAGTGGTTTAGAAGGCTAAGAAGTCTTAAATGATCCACCACAGAGTCATAGTATTGCTGCCTCCTTTTGGTAAAAACAATGATTATGAAAACACTGTTCTTATAATAATATCAAAAGGTTTTATGCAAAAGAAAAATGAACTACAACTGAAACAATAAGCAATTTGTTGTCTCAATAAACCAAGAGGCAGAGATTGACTTAGAAGGTTAATATAATTATCAAAGGCTCAGTTTGTTTTTGTCTCTCCATTGTGCCATCCATAATTGTGTCTTTGTTCAAGGCTGCTGCAGCAAGTATAAGATGGATGCCAGCAACAACCCAGGTGTACAGCTTAACTTATTATATCCAGTGGGGATAAAGGAAAACCCTGCCACAACCATCATAGAGAAGTGTTGAGCTTTGCACTAACTGGGCCTCTCCAAATAGAAGTGTCAAAGCTGTGTACTAATTGTTAGGACATTTCTGCATATCACTACAACAAACAGGAATAAGACTGAACAGCTTGTGTCTTAGAAAGGACCTGGGCCTGAAATGATAAAAGTCTTGGTGTTTTCAAGGAACTCCTAAAATGCCAGTGAGACTGAACATTGTAAGAAAAAACTGAGTAACCCAGGTAGTAAACGTGTGGAATTATAACAATATAGTCATCTCCAAAACAAACTATGGTATTTGGGGATAATAGTGACAGTCAATGTGTTTTGTTCTTGTTGTGGTTTGTTTGTTTTGAGACACAGTCTCCCTCTGTCACCCAGACTGGAGTGCAGTGGCATGATCTCAACTCACTGCAACCTCTGCCTCCCAAGTTCAAGCGATTCTCCTGTCTCAGCCTCCAGAGTAGCTGGGACTACAAGCCTGCACAACCACGTCTGGCTAACTTTTGTATTTTTAATAGAGACAGGTTTTCACCATGTTGCCAGACTGATCTCGAACTCCTGACCTCAGATGATCTGCCCACCTTAGCCTCACAGTGCTGGGATTACAGGCGTGAGCCACCACACTGGCCAACAGTCACATTTTAAGTTGTGTTAAAATCATTCTGTGAAAAAATAGGGTTATTAGAACTTAGATAATAAGCATCTTTGAAATCTGGCAGCAAATTTGCTATTTGAGAGGTCATCTTTCAAAAGATCATCATTCAAAGATGTATAGGATGATTAGAATTTTGAAGACAAGATAATTCAGATTGGACTTTTGGTTCTTTTTCTTGGGTGAAAGCAGAGGTATTTTTCCATAAGGAGTTAGCCTCCTACCTCAATGACCACGAATACTACCAAAACCCAAGTGAACATTCAGGTGTGGCCCAAGTGGTCTTCTTGACTATGAGGAAATCCTCTCATACGGATATTCACAGTTCTTCTGCATCCTCTCCCACTAGGAACCAGGAGTCTATATCAACAAAATATCTTTGACATCTAACAAGACAATACAAATATTTTCTTAACAATTTAGAGTATGTCCACTCCTACTCCATATTACAAAACAAAACCATGCCTAATAACAGTCAAAAACTCCATCTTGATAGCTAACATTTATGGAAGGCTGATTTTAATTTAATAACTTCAACTTTTCATCTAAATTCTGAAATATATTAATTAGTTAAGGCTCACTATTATAGAACAGAGTGCCTAAACCACAATGTCATTATCCTTTCTGTAATTGGTTATATGATATTTGAGACAGGTACATAAAATCCCCTTGCATTATGAAAATTTATTTAACGAATGGCCCTATTAATCTCAATAGTGCCATTTGTCATTTTAGGGACTGGTTTTTTTTTGTTTCTTTGCTTTTCTTTGGTTAGGACTTTGCCCACCAAATCATACTGTGTCCACGAAATCATATTATACCCTATTATACCCTTTAAAAGGGCTCAAGAGAAGGACGTATCTCTAGATTCAGTTAAACAAATGATGAAATTCTAAGCAAATGATCTTAGTTATAGACACAGTGAACCTTGAATTTACATTATCCTTCTTGCTTAGCTCCTAAGAACTCAAAGCCATCTTTCTTTCTCAACTTCTACAGTTGCTAAGGATTTAATGGCATGTTTTGTCATATTATTTCTGGCTTTATTTTAATCTTTATTAATGTGTATTCATTTTTTAAAATTAATTGCAAAATGTAAATCAAAAATATTTCTGTATCAGCCACCTCAAATCATTTTTGGCAAAGGAAATTATGTAAAAGTCAATAAACAAAATGACTGAATAAGTATTTCAAAGATTATTATCTGAGCATCAGCCTCGACCTCCTGGGCTCAAGCGATCCTCCTGCCTCAGTCTCCCAAGTAGCTGGGACCGCAGATATGCCACCATGTCCAGCTAATTTTTTTTCTAATTTTTTGTAAAGATGAGGTCTCTCTATGTTGCTCAGGCTGGTCTCAAACTCCTGTACTCAAGGGATCCTCCCACTGTGGCCTCTCAAAGTGCTAGGATTACAGGCATGAGCCACCATGTCCAGCCAAAAATTGATTTCTAAATTAAAGAAAAAAGTTAACTGACATAACATCATCTGTATTTCTTTTCTCATTTTTGTCTCAATGAAATGCTCATTTATAGGCAGTAAAGTTTGTTGCCGAAGTGTTGATTTATTCATAATGAACAGAAATATGAAAAATGTACCTCCTTAAGATAATTTTCTTTTTTTCTTAAAGACCAGTATGATAGTATGATATAATTTCTTTTTTTTTTTATTATTATACTTTAAGTTTTAGGGTACAGGTGCACAACGTGCAGGTTAGTTACATATGTATACATGTGCCATGTTGGTGTGCTGCACCCATTAACTCGTCATTTAACATTAGGTATATCTCCTAATGCTATCCCTCCCCCCTCCCCCCACCCCACAACAGGCCCCAGTGCGTGATGTTCCCCTTCCTGTGTCCATGTGTTCTCATTGTTCAATTCCCACCTATGAATGAGAACATGCAGTGTTTGGTTTTTTGTCCTTGCAATAGTTTGCTGAGAATGATGGTTTCCAGCTTCATCCATGTCCCTACAAAGGACATGAACTCATCCTTTTTTATGGCTGCATAGTATTCCATGATTTATATGTGCCACATTTTCTTAATCCAGTATATCATTGTTGGACATTTGGGTTGGTTCCAGGTCTTTGATATTGTGAATAGTGCCGCAATAAACATATGTGTGCATTTGTCTTTATAGCAGCATGATTTATAATCCTTTGGGTATATACCCAGTAATGGGATGGCTGGGTCAAATGGTATTTCTAGTTCTAGATCCCTGAGGAATCTCCACACTGACTTCCACAATGGTTGAACTAGTTTACAGTCCCACATGAAAAAAATGCTCATCATCACTGGCCATCTGAGAAATGCAAATCAAAGCCACAATGAGATACCATCTCACACCAGTTAGAATGGTGATCATTAAAAAGTCAGGAAACAACAGGTACTGGAGAGGATGTGGAGAGATAGTATGATATAATTTCTTTTAAAAAAGCTGAAATGCCACTTTTTCACCGTGACTGTATCAAGCATAACTACTAAACAGGTTTAAAATGATATAGAAAAATTACCTCTCTGCAGAGCCCATTTTTTCTTTTCCATACATTTTATAGTGAAGAATAATTTAACAACATTTCAGTGTCCTTAATGGACAGTTGTAACTAACAAAAGTATGCTTCATGTTTTGACCATTACAGAATCATAGTTCCTATTTTACTGGTAAGTTCTTCAGTGCTGTAAAATCAATGAAGTCATGTATACTTTAATTCAAAAATAATTATGAGAAGTTTATATTTAGCATTGTGATGGCTTTGTAAAAGTGGCAGATAAAAATACACCAGATAATTTATGCTCAAGAAAATAGATAATTCTATTGAAAATTATCTTTAATGTAGTTTGGTAAAAATATGACTAAGGGCCAAAAAAAAAACAGTGCTATAGAAACAAGTGGTAATAAAGAGAAGAAAAAATTTCGTCCTATTGTCTCTAAAAGTTTGGGGAAGAAATTAGAAAAAAGAATACAGTATATTATTAGTCTAGTTAGAAACAGTAATAGAGCCCATGCTTGCTGCAAATGAGTTTGTCAAAAACATATTTTATCAATAGGAAAATGAAATATGGCAGATTATCTAATATTTTGACAAGTAACGTAATTTTCAAGTCACTATTTCATTTGATGGCCAGTCTATTTGAATAAATAGACTTGTTTGCCCAATAATATAAACACAAAGTCCAAAATTGTTTTTCACACATTTCAGGCTGACATTTATGGAACACCAGCTTAGTGCCAAGGTATGTCTAATTCCATCTCAATAAAAATAATGTATTACAAATAATCACTGAACAAGCCATTCTGTTAGTTTTTCACTTAGTCATCCAACAAACATTTACAAAGCACTTATTGTGTGGGCGGGTACTCTGACAACCACTAAAGATTCAACAATAATTCAAAAAAAGAAGTATCCTCTGCTATATTGTTATTAGTGTCATAAAGTAATATGCTATAAAAAGAGAGTGGTGGAGCTATAAAAGTTTATAATTGATCATTTGATCTGTAATCAATTAATTAGTAATTAGTATGTGGGAAATTACCTCTTTCAAAGTGATGGTTTCGTGAAAAACAGAAGCCTCAGGTAAACGGATGGAAGAGAGGTTGGAATTATAACCAGGCAGCAGGAATAGTGCATGTAAAAGCATATTTTGAGAGG
The DNA here is from genome assembly GCF_000001405.40 of Homo sapiens. Classification (NCBI taxonomy): domain Eukaryota; kingdom Metazoa; phylum Chordata; class Mammalia; order Primates; family Hominidae; genus Homo; species Homo sapiens. The sequence continues at coordinate 73,867,021 of NC_000012.12, read as the reverse complement.
AGGCATGGTGAATATGAGGAACTAAAAGAAAGCCAGTGTTGCTGCAGTTAGGGAGAATGTGGTGTAAATGAGGTTGGAGAATTAGGTGGGTACCCAAACATGCAGAGCATTTAAGTAATGTTGCCTTCACCCTGATAACAGTAAAAAGCCATTAAACTGCCCTATGTATTGGGGTAATATGAACTTATTTGCTCACTTAAAAGACTGTTCTGGATTTTTAAAAAATTGAAATGGGTAAATATCAACGTTTTTGTACTGGGAAGGAAATGGTGGTAGCTGGGACTAGGGAAGACTGTGAGATTCATAGTATTTCATATAAGTGTTCAAGCTCATGAGATTTTTTAGTAAGCTAAATCAATAACATTTTCCAGTCATATGGATATTGGGGTAAATGAAAGGCGGATGTCATAGATGATTCTTGGGTTTCTGGTTTACATAACCTGATGGATAATAGTTCCATTTGTGAAGAAAAACAGTGGTAAGGGATTATGTATGTGGGTAATGATCATAATTTTAGTTTCTGTCTTTATTATGTAAGAGTGCCTTCGAGATATATAAGAATTAATGTTAATTACGCAGTTTTATATAAGTATCTGAAGCTAAAAGGCCATTCTTATCAGATAAATGCTTTTGGTTTTTTTTGACTAATATATGTGAAAGTCAGACATAAAGAAGGAATTGCCTAGGAGAATACTCTAGCTTGAGACAACTTGAGACCTTGGGACTGAAACTCAAGAAAATTTAACATTTTGTTGTAGATTGCAAAGGATGAGAAGTATGAGTAAAATCTGGAGAATTTTGAAAATAAAATACAGTATAAATAGAGTGTTCTGAGAAGGTGGGAGTGTTCAGCAGTAATGTATTCATTGACATATAAATAATTATTAACCTTGGTAAGAATTTTATCTATAGAGAGATAGAGGCTGAAAGACAGAATGGTGTAGTGAGGGGGAGATTAAAAATAAAATAGAGTGAGGCAGAACATATGGATAAGATGTTATAGAACTTTGCTCCAGGTAAGAAAGCATACTAAATACGATGTGAAAAGCAAGATTTTGTTGCATTCTTTTATTTTTTTCATTTTGAATAGGATATACTTGAATTGATTTAAAAGCCAACATAAATGATGCAACTATGTGAGAAACATGGGAAGTCAGAATTTTATTGTAACATAGGGAAAGAGGAGAGAAGCAAATGCCACTAATAATCATAATGATATAAGCTAATTAACAGCAAGCCAACATTTAGGAGCTGTACATATGAAAGAAATCTGAGGCACAAAACAGTTCTATGTTGTACAAGGTCATCTTTTTGGAGTAAATGGGAAGAAACTGAAAGCTGGAAATTGGAAGAGAGTTAGAAACGGGTCAAATAAGAGATGGGGAAGAGAGCCAGAAATGTAGGATTGCAGAACAAATTGGAGACCCTAATTAAGGTTTGTGGTTAAAAATTTATAGTGGAAAAAATTTTGTCCTGTTAGGGGAAATCTCATGAAGCAATTGGATGATCAGGGTCAGTCTTGGTGAAGATTATTCAGTTCACAGAAGATGAAATTTCCAATATGGATTTGAAAAAAATTCAGAGAGATAATTGAAATTTATATACCTAGATATACTCTTGAACAAATGGATCATAAAATCAATAAATGAATAAAGCTGAGTAGGAAAAAATGAGATAGCTAATAAACTTGTAAAATGTGCCAATTTCAAGAAACTGGAAATCTTGATGAAGTAAAAAAATTGATAAAATTAGTTGAACAAGACTTGAGGAAATGAGACATTGGCCATAAAGTGAGATTATTGAATTAGTGATTTTTAAAGATTGAGCAGATTCGGGTTATGAAAAGGCTCAAAGTCTGACCATGAAAGTAAGTGACAAGTGAGAAGCCACAGAAGCTCATTAAGAAATTGTAAAAACTAAGAAGCTCTGCAGCTGGACACATTGTGTACATGAATGTTAATGTCAATCCGTATGAAGTTAGGGCTTGGGATAAAGAAAAATATCTAAACCACATATAAAATCTTTGATGAGTGATGGGAACTAACTGAAAGTCACAGATGACAGTGTTAAGAAGAGGAAGAGATTGGTGTAGCTCAATGACTTGATCTTAAAATGATCTGCATTTCTTTCTCTTTTCTTTTTTAAATTTTTAAATTTATTTTACTTTTATTCAACTCAGAGATGGAGATTATTTTATTCTGAAAATGTATGCAGGATTAGTAATATGGAATTTCTAATGGAGAATAAAAATAATGCCAATCTTGTGTGTTACCTTTAAAGCACATGGTTTATAAAAAATAAATAAATAAATAGTCATCAATTAAGCACTCTTCAGTTGAAGTGATATTCTCAGAGAGAAGCCTGATTACTGTTAAGGAAAGAAAGTTAAAAGAGTGATCTAAAAGGAGAGAAGGAAAGTTACACATTATGACAGAAAACGAATCTTAAAAAAAATTTAAGGTTAATACTGAGAGACAAATAGAAAGGTGAGATATTTGAAAATTTGATTTTAGAAATCTTTTGCGAGCCAAGGAGTAATCTATCTTGTTTTGTTTGGCCAGAATAATAAAGGCACAATTGTAGAGTAAATACTGAATATGTGAGAATATTCATATAAAAATACATATAAAATATAAGTGTATTATCTATCAAACCACTATATATGATTTGGCACCAAATGTGTGGAAGCCTGGTGAATAGAATATCATTTTATCAAAGGAAGGGATTGCTGAGGCCTTGCAGGAGATAAGAAGTCTTAACTTGGCTTTGTATTGGAAGTTATCAAGTATACATTTTGTCTTAAAGGCAATGGAGAAGTGTAAAAAGGGAGTTTTAAATAAATGTCTGACAATTAGACAATATTGAATAAAACCACTCTGAAAATAAATGGAGGATAGATTAGAAGGTGACATGCTGGAAGATTAAATTCCAGTTACAAGATATTTGAAATAGCCCACTCATTCACTATCTTTAGCTACCTTTAGTCCTGGGGATCCAAATCAGGGATCCAAATCTGAGTAATATGTAATTCATTTAATTCAGGAGGTCATAGTTTCTTGTTAGGTGGAAGACAGTGGTTGGGGAAGGAAGCTGATAATAAAACAGGGTTATCATATGCTCTCTCTAGGCAGTGTTTGGGCTGTTTAAAAATTCTTGTGTAATACATTGAATTATTGTTCCCAATCTTCGTTGCTTCCCTGAAATATATATAGGATATATTTATCCATTGTCTTATACTTCCATATGACTCACAGGAAGTGAGAAATACATTCCAGCTTCCACTGATTTGGGGCTTGCTCATCTGTCATGCTTGCTCATATGTCAGCTAGGAAGATATGACAAAGGACCAATTCTGAGCATAGAATTAATCTAAAAGGCACTATGGGTATACATGTAATCTTCTTGGAAACCTACCCTCTTCCTTGAGAGCTTTATATCTCGAATAGCACTTGCTCCTTCAACCTGAGTCCTCAAATAAGAAGATATGTGAATATATGTGAATAAGACCTGAATGTGACCTGCAGCCCATAGGTAGGCCCAACTGAACTCAACCAAACCCACCCCAGCAGTCACACATAGCTCAGAAGATCCCAGCAGAAGTTCAGCTAAGAAGTGTATGTTTTTTGTAGTAAACCATTGAGTTTTGTGACTATGTTTTATGTAGCATTGTTGCAATAATAAAGAAATATTACATCTTGGCTTTTCTCTTTTGAGAGATATACAGATAGATACACACACACCCATACACACATATATATGTACATATATGTATAATATATACATGTACATATAGGTATATATGTTTTGAAATTGTTTATATAACTCTATATATATAGTTTGAAACATGTACCTATTCCCCTTTTACTAAATGTTAAGACTAATTTTTATAGGATATGTGATAGTATATTTATTTACATCTTTTACAATGGAAGATCCAGTGGTTTGTAAAAAATAAATACATACTTTTTGATTAACATTCAAGACATATTTAAACATCTTTTGATTTGCTCTTTTTAATTAAAAAAGTATTATTCTACAAATATAGGTTTTCTCTCTTTTCCTTCATATGTAAACTTTCTCAAAATCCTAAAATCTATAAATAAATTCTTCTTCCACTTTAAATATTCACAGAACTACTCTCTGTTGACAATCTGTGTTAGACAATTGCTGATTAATTAGATACTGCTATCAAGTGTGAAATATCTGGAGTAAAAAAACAAGTGTCCATTTTTTTTTGACAATTACAAATTGTCCAAATTATGGGAAGTGAAGGAAAATAATGTACTTTGCACCAGAATCAGTATATTATTGGTTTCCTAAATTACTAAATTACATTGCACTTTAATAACTTTTTTCTTTTCCAGTGCATTAAATAGAAAATTGTTGCATACTCTAAGTTTAGATAAGTTATACAATTAGCCTTGCTTTTATATAAAATTATCACTTCACTATTTTTTAATGGTATCCAACTAATTAGATAGATATTCATTGTGGTTATCTACTTGTATTGGCTACAATGAGAAATTATTTCTGTTTCATTGGATGAAGTCTAACATTCACTTATTTCTCTAATAAAAGAGTGATTGAAACGGATTAAAAGAAAACTTAAGAGTTTAAGAAATGTTTCATGAATGACCTGAAGACATTGATATATGACTTCTTAGATGAAAGAAATGTCCTATTCTTTCTGCCCATGTACTGGATGCTTTTCTGTCTGAAAATATGAGTGGTTAATGTTAGCCTTCTGTAGTTCTGACACCTTATTTGAGGTTAGTGCTGGGCAAAATTTTGGATACTTGTTCTCTAAACTTTCAATTGCCTAACTTTTTAAAAAATCCTACATTCTTATTTCTCTTTCCTTTATAACTGTCTGTATCTTAGCAAAGAAGAGAATATTGTGGACTTTCCATGTATTACAATTATAAAGAAAAAGCCATTGATGAAACTCCCTCTATGAAATTGTGTGGATAAAGAACACTGGCAATATTCTATTTTTTCACTTAAAACACAGCATGTAGAAGAACTATATTTACACAGATACTAAACCTTACATTTAGTATCTCCAGTCCAATGTGAACAAAAACTAAGATCATGTCAGATCAAAATTTTAGTAAGCAGAGTGACAAAGTTTGTAGATGGTATCAACCCTTAAAAGAGATTTTCATAGGCTTATGCTTTGCCCAGACAGAGGAAATGATAGAAGGTTAATTTATGATCATCTCCTAAAGTTAATATTGTACAAAAAGGCAGTTATGTCTATGGTATTAATTACCTGAGTTGATCTGCCCAGGTAAGTGAATACAGTCTTCCCTTGGTATCCATGAGAGATTTGTCCCAGCAACCCATTTCGCGCCATCCCCACACCCCAACTCTATGGATAACAAAATCTGTGGAAGCTCAAATCCCTTATATAAAATGGCCTAGTTTTTTCATATAACCTGTGCAGCTTCTCCCATATACTTTAAATAATCTCTGTATTACTTATAAATACCCAATATAATACCTACATATTATTTCATGTGTGTGAATTCAATGTAGTTCTTACAGCATGGCAAACTCAAGTTTTGCTTTTTCAAACTGTAGAATTTTTTTCTGAATATTTTTCTAACTTACACTCGTCTTATCCAAAGTTAAGCATATGAATTTTAGCAGTTTTATTTGAGGATCTTTTACCACAGAGGACCTTAAAACAAGTTTTAAGGTTTGTTTCCTGCAATGCTATACATTATCCAGCAGGAACAATTCTTATAACTATATTTTTGTCACCTAAAGTTACTTACTGGTTTTTGTTTTTGGTTTAACGGCTGTAGCTCCAGGATGGTCTCTGTCTCCTAACCTTGTGATCCACCCACCTTGGCCTCCCAAAGTGCTGGAGTCTCACTGTTCTGTTTTTTTTTTTTTTTTTTTTTTTTTTAATCACAGACAGCATTCTTTTCTCTTTGTTCTCACATAGTGGAAGGGGCAAGAAATTTATCTGATTCTTCTTTTATAAGGGCACTGATATGGCTTGGCTCTGTGTCCCCATCTGTCATGGGTAATTTTGAGTGTCAACTTGATTGGATTGAAGGATACAAAGTATTGACCCTGGGTGTGTCTGTGAGGGTTTTGCCAAAGGAGATTAACATTTGAGTCAGTGGGCTGGGGAAGGCAGACCCACCCTTAGTCTGGTGGTCACCATCTAATCAGCTGGCAGCGAATACAAAGCAGGCAGAAAAAAATGAAAAGGAGAGATGGGCCCAGCCTCCCAGCCTACATTTTTGTCCCATGCCGGATGCTTCCTGTCCTTGAACATCAAACTCCAAGTTCATTAGTTTTGAGACTTGGACTGGCTCTCCTTGTTCCTCAAGCTTGCAGACAGCCTATTGTGGGACCTTGTGAATGTGTAAATTAATACTTAGTAAACTCCAATATATATAATAAACTCATATATATATATATCTCCTATTAGTTCTGTCTCTTTAGAGAACCCTGACTAATACACCATCCAAATCTCATGTCAGATTAGGAGGGGCCTGGTGGGAAGTGACTGAATCATGGGGGCAGACTTCCTTTTTGCTATTCTCGTGATAGTAAGTCAGTTCTCACAAGATCTGGTAGTTTGAAAGTGTATAGTGCTTCCCCCTTTACTCTCTCTCTCTCTCCTTCCACCATGATTGTAAGTTTTCTGAGGCATCCCAGCCAGGCTTCCTGTAGACCCTGTGGAAATATTAGTCAATCAAACCTCTTTTCTTAATAAATTACCCAGTCTCAGGTAGTTCTTTACAGCAGTATGAGAACATGCTATTACAGGCACTAATCCTGTTCATTAGTGTTCCAGCCTCATTACTTGATCACCTATCAATGACCATTCCTCCTTATACTATCACATTGGGGGTTAGGATCTCAACATGTGAATTTGGGTCATCATAAACATTCAGTCTACATTATTCTGTCCTACCTCTGTGACATAATCTGCATTGTAAGAATGTTATAGATGAAGAAACTTGAAAATACAGGATTAATTTTTCAAAGTAAAAATGGTACCCAGAGAAAGAGTAAAATCTCATTAGTGTGAATAACCTTGAACTGTTGGCTACATGAATATAAATATGGGTATTTGAGATAGAAAGGAGATTCAGAATATAAGGCTATATATAATAATTCCATATATAAATTAATAAAGTAGTTACAAACTATTAGGAAAAGAGTGAGCATATACTCTAAGAATTATGAAGCTGGAAATTACTTTAGATGGCATCATTTCTACCCACTTCATTTTATAAATAGTAAAGAAAGTATGCATGTATGTATAAAAATTTGCAACTATTGGGCCAGTTGCAGTGGCTCACGCCTGTATTCCCAGCACTTTGGGAGGCCAAGGTGGGTGGATCATGAGGTCAGGAATTCGAGACCAGCCTGGCCAACATGATGAAACCCCATCTCTACTAAAAATACAAAAATTAGCTGGGCATGGTCACACGCCTGTAATCCCAGCTACTCAGGAGGCTGAGGAAGGTGAATCTCTTGAACCCTGGGAGGTAGAGTTTGCAGTGAGCTGAGATCACACCACTGGACTCCAGCCTGGGTGACAGAGTGAGACTCCATCTCAAAAAAAAATTTCAACTATCCTTTTATGTATAGAATTACTTTTACTGTATTAATCATTAGTCAGCTTACTTATACATAGTGACTGACATACCCTACTATGATCTCATCCTTGTAGGCAGGTGGAATTTATCGATAAATCAGCCAAGCTCAAGGTACATATGCCAATAACACAGCCATATTTTTTATAAATTTGTACTAGAGATGTACATAAAATTTTTTTAATAAGTTGAAGGAAATGGATTAGCTATCTCAAAGATCTCTGTACATTTTAAAACTCTGTTATTTTATTTGAAAATATTCCAAGTCTTTCTGGAACCATATCTAACAAAGAAAAAGGAAGAAATATTTTCAAAAATTATTTAAGTGTATTAAATTTAACAATTCTGGTCTCTGGAAATTATTGCATTCTCCCCTGAACATGAGAATCTTTTGTAAACCTGTGAGTGTCAAAATGTGTGACTAGAATAAGTGTTCATTACCTGTGTAATGACACACAATATTTATAGTAAGGTAATTAAGTACTGTCTTGTTTTATGCTTCAATGTGTAATTTTAAATAACTGAATTTAATATAATAAAAATAACTGAATTTCTAACAAAATTTTAAGTAAATGTTATATTTAAGTGTCTTATATCCTATTAAAAATTTTAAAGTGTTAAATTTTTATACTGTTACTTACACCTGAGCAAATAAATGACAAATAAATCCTTAAGGCAACATTTTATGAAGATAATGAAAATATCAATACAACAGTAATTTAATAACTTGCAAAATAAAATATCTAAACTAGACATGAAGCCTATAACAATGATACAATTACTTATGATACCATTATTCTGGCTATAAAAATCAATCTTTCACTGAAATAAGAAGTTATATCTAGTTTCCTTTTTTCCATAAATGCTTTTGCCTTGGATTTAAGTCGTTTAACATTTTTCTTCATAATTCATACCACAGTGATGGCAAATGGAATTTTTATAAAGCAAATCACCAAGGCAATGTATGAGATTCATGATTTCAATAGTAAAATCATCTTAAAGGATACTGTGGGGGCAGAATCTAACGAATTTTTAAAAAAATAAAAACTTCATGTTGAATTGAACTCTTTATTATTATGTAATGCTCTTTGTCTTTTTTGATCATTACTAAACTCTGTTTTGTCTCAAATAAGAATAGCAACTCTTGCTCTTTTTTGTTTTCTGCTTGCTTGATTTTTCTTCATCCCAATACTTTCAGCCTATGTTTGTCATTTCATGTGAGGTGAGTCTCCTGAAGACAGCATACACTTGGGTCTTGATACTTTATCCAACTTCAAATTCTGTTTCTTGTTAAGTGGAGCATTTAGCCCATTTATGTTCAAGATTAATATAGATATGTGTGGATTTGATTCTGTCATCATGCTGTTGGCTGGTTGTTATGCAGACTTGATCGTGTAGTTGTTTTATAGTGTCTGGGGTTTGTGAACTTAAGTGTGGTTTTGTGGTGGCTAGCAACAGTCTTTCCTTTCTATGTTCAGCATTCTCTTATGGATCTATTCTAAGGCAGGTGTGTTGATAACAAATTCCTTTAGCATTTGCTTGTTTGAAAAGGACCTTATTTCTCCTTGGCTTATGTTGCTTACTATGGCTGATTATAACATTCTTGGTTGAAATTTATTTTATTTAAGGATGCTGAATATAGACCCCAGTGCTTTGGGCTTTTAAGATTTCTGCTGGAAGTTCCACAACTAACCCAGTGGAATTCCCTTTGTAGGTGACCTGCCCCTTCTTTCTAGCTGTCTTTAATGTTTTTTTCTTTTCATGATGACCTTGGAGAATCTGAGACTTTATTTCTTGACAGTGGTTGTCTTATATAGTATTTTTCAGGGGTTCTCTGAGTTTTCTGAATTTGAATTGCAATCTCTTTAGCAAGGTTGGGGAAATTTTCATGAACAATATCTTTGAATAGGTTTTCTAAGTTGTTTACTCTCCCTCTCTTTCAGGGGTGCCAGTTAGTTATAGGTTTGTACTCTTTACATAACCCCATATTCCTCAAAGGTTTAATTCATTGTTTTTTTATTCTTTTTTTCTTTATTTAGGTCTGCATAAGTTGATTCAAAAAACTGGGCTTAAACCTCTGAGATTCTTTCCTCAGCTTGGTATATTCTGCTGTTAATACTTCTGACTGTGTTAAGAAATTCTCATACTGAGTTTTTCAGTTTTATCACATCAGTTTGGTTATTTCTTAAAATGACTATTTCATCTTTGAACTCTTGAATATTTTTATTGGATTCCATAGAATTCTTGGATTGAGTTTTAACTTTCTCCTGAATCTCAAAAATCTTTGCTGCCATCCAGGTTTTGAATTCTGTCTGTCATTTCAGCCATCTCACTCTGGTTAATCATTGCTGAAGAGCTAGTGGGATCATTTGGAGGTAAGAAACTCTGGGTTCTAGAGTTGCCAGAGTTCTTGTGCTAGATATTTCTCATTTGTGTGGGCTGATATTCTTTTAACTCTGGTGTAATTTGCATATATTTAGTTGGTTTTATTTCTAGATATTTTCAGAGGTCTGAAGTTTTCTGCAAGGGTCTTAATTTGTGGCTGAATTCTTCCCATTGGTTTTATTGGGGTTATATTAGCAAAGTATTTTTGGTGTTGTAGTTTGGGCTGCAATCCAATAGAAGATGTTATACAACTCAACTTCAAACTACACTACAAGGCTACAGTAAATAAAACTGCATGGTACTGGTACAAAAACAAACACATAGACCAATGGACAAGGTTAGGGAACCCAGAAATAAAGCCATGCACCTACAACCATCTAATCTTCAACAAAGTTGAGAAAAACAAACAATAGGAAAATGACTTTCTATTCCATAAATGCTGCAGAGATAATTTGCTAGCCACATGCACAAGACTGAAACTGGACCCTTCCTTTACACCATATACAAAAATAAACTCAAGATGGATTAAAAATTTAAATGTAAAACCTAAAATTACATAAACCCTGGAAGAAAACTAGAACATACCACTCTGGACATAGGCCCTGGCAAAGATTTTATAATGAAGACTCCAAAAGCAATTCTAACCAAAACAGAAATTGATAAGTGGGACCTAATCGAGCTAAAGAGTTTCTGCACAGCAAAAAAACAAACAAACAAACAAAATATATATATACACACATATACATATATATGGAGTAAACATACAACCTACAGAGCAGGAGAAAATATTTGCAAACTATGCATCTGACAAATGTCTAATACCCAGAATCTATAGGGTAAACAACCCCATAAAAATAGGCGAAGAATATGAACAGTCACTTTTAAAAAGCAGACATATATGCAGCTAACAAACATTTGAAAAAATGTTTAACCTCACTAATCTTTAGAGAAGTGCAAATCAAATGCACAATGAGATACCTTCTCACACCAGTCAAAATGGCTATTAAAAAGTCAAAAAAAAAAAAAAGATGACTGTGAAGTTGCAAAAACAAAAAAAAAAAAAAAGAAGAAAGGAAAAACTTATATACTGGTAGTGGGAATGTAAATTATCAGCCACTGTGGAAAACAGTTCGGAGAATCTCAAAATACTTGAAACAGAACTATTTGACCCAACAATCACATTACTGGGTACATACCTAAAGGAATATAAATTATTCAACCAAAAAGACACATGCACACATATGTTAATCACAGCACTTTTCACAATAACAAAGATGTGGAATCAACTTAGATGCCAATCAACAGTGGACTTGAAAAATAAAATTGGTACATATACACCATAGAATACTATATGGCCATAAAAAAGAATTAAATTTTGTCCTTTACAGCAACATGGATGCTGCTGGAGGCCATTATCCTAAAGGAATTAATGCCATAACAGAAAACCAAATACCACATATTCTCACTTAAAAGTAGGAGCTATACATTGAGTACACATGGATACAAAAAGAAGAACAAGAGACACCAGGGACTACTTGAGGTTGGAGACTGAGAGGAGAGTAAGAATAGAAAAACTATCTATTGGGTACTATGCTCACTACCTGGGTGATAAAATAATTTGCATATAAAACAACCACAACACCCAATTTACACATGTAACAAAATTTTACATGTATCCCCTGAATTCAACGTAAAAGCTGGAAGAAAAATTTTAAATAAATGAATAAATAAAAAGATAAAAAACTTAATATTGGTCTTCATCAGTATTCCTAGAAAAATATATTTAATATTAATTTGATATTTATGGAAACATGCTTAAGGAAATTAAAGAAAATCACATTTTATTAATACAATGTAGTGTATCCTTTTAATGCAGAAAAGAGGTATTTTAACGTTACTTATTTATATTTGTTATTTTTAATTGGCTTATAACAATTGCACATATTATACAGTGTAATATTTTAATATATGTGTACAAAATGTAATATATCAAATCAGGATAATTAGCAAATCCATCTCAAACATTTATAATTCTTTTGTGTTAGGAACATTCATAATCTTCTCTTCAGGCTATTTGGAAATCTACAAAAAATTTTTGTTAACTATAGTCACTCTACAGTGCTAAATAATTTTACAATGTAATCTTATCTAGCTGTAATTTCATATCCATTAACCAACCTCTTCTTTTTCCCCCTCTCCATTATCCTCCCCAGCCTTTAAGAAAACCCAATTCTGGCTGGGCGTGGTGGCTCACGCCTGTAATCCCAGCACTTTGGGAGGCCGAGGTGGGCGGATCACGAGGTCAGGAGATCGAGACCATCCTGGCTAACACGGTGAAACCCCATCTCTACTGAAAATACCAAAAAAAAAAAAAAAAAAAAAAGCCAGGCGCAGTGGCAGGCACCTGTAGTCCCAGCTAACTCGGGAGGCTGAGGCAGCAGAATGGCGTGAACCCGGTTTGCGGAGCTTGCAGTGAGCTGAGATCGTGCCACTGCACTCCAGCCTGGGGACAGAGTGAGACTCTGTCTCAAAAAAAAGTAATTAAAATAAAAAACCCAATTCTATTTTGTTTCTTCTTCCTTTGTAAGAAGTCCCTCAAGCTGGGACTTCTTAGTCTTCATACTTGTAATAAGTGTGTTTATGTTCTTTATAAATAAGTCGGTTTTAGGTATTCTAAGAACAGAAAATAAAGACAGAAAATTGGTACCAGGAGGGTGGTGTCACTAATAACAACTGAATACGTGAAAACAGCTGTGAAACTGGGTAATGAGCAGAAGAAGGTAGAATAATTTGAAGGAGCACAATAGAAAAAGTTTAAATTGTTGTGAGAGATTTGAAGAAAAGAAGACTACGGAAAGTTTTGAACTCTTTAGAGATTAGTTAAGTGGTCATTACACAAATGCTGATAGAAATATGAGAAATAAGACCATTCTGAAGAAGCTTCAGATGAAACAGATAAACGCGTTATTGGAAACTGGAGTAAAGACCATCCTTGTTATGAACTGACAAAGAATTTGGCTGTTCTTTGAGCTAGATTGGTAACGTTCAAATCTCCACAAGTGTTTATCATATGAGAATAGGCAGGGCTTTTTATCATTTTGTGTTTCAGTTTTATCCATCAAATGAGGATAACAAATCACTTTACAAAATTTTTTGCAATGATTAAATGATTTACAGTATGTAAACTGATTATAACAATAGCTAGTACATTTTAAGTACTTTATAAATGTTAGGAGCTAGCATTATGATTGGTGTGCTTGAAAAGGGATAGCAAAAATAATATTTCTCGAATATTTTCATTAATCTGTGGCCCTTGTTTTTACGTAGGGCATTCTGGTTTCATAAAAAAATAGGGAAAAGATTGAGAAATCGGATGGTTGCCGTGTCTGTGTAGAAAGAAGTAGACATGGGAGACTTTTCATTTTGTTCTGCACTAAGAAAAATTCTTCTGCCTTGGGATCCTGTTGATCTGTGACCTTACCCCCAACCCTGTGCTCTCTGAAACATGTGCTGTGTGCACTCAGGGTTAAATGGATTAAGGGCGGTGCAAGATGTGCTTTGTTAAACAGATGCTTGAAGGCAGCATGCTCCTTAAGAGTCATCACCAATCCCTAATCTCAAGTAATCAGGGACACAAACACTGCGGAAGGCCGCAGGGTCCTCTGCCTAGGAAAACCAGAGACCTTTGTTCACTTGTTTATCTGCTGACCTTCCCTCCACTATTGTCCCATGACCCTGCCAAATCCCCCTCTGTGAGAAACACCCAAGAATTATCAATAAAAAAATAAATTTAAAAAAAAAAAAAAAATAGAGACATGTTACTTTAAAGTATATTCATTATATTTAGAAAACACTTAATTCATGGAAAGATTGCTCTATTCAACGTAGCATTAAATCTCAAAATATTTAAAATACTTTGAAAAGGCAAAAATTGTATTTGGTTAATTTTAATAGCAAATAGAATCATTCTATAAATAGTGGCCACCAGTTTCTCTATACCTTTAAAGAAGAACAAAACTGTAAATATTTAATGTATGGGTAATTATGAAACAATGAGAGAAATAACTTGTTATGTATGAAAGAGAACTTCTTGTAATACAGATAATGTAGCTTATAAAAATATTGATTTTTTCTCTTCTCTGTGTATAGTAATAGATTCTTAATCAATTGCATATGTAGAGAACAGTTTCTTCTGTTTTCTTCTGTTCTTCTAAAATCACAACTGCTCATGGCAACCATTTAGGCCCCAAACTTAAAAAGAAATTTTAATTATTCTTGATGGGAATATTTCAAAAGTATGTTTAAGTTTCACTTCTCATTTAAAAATTATATTTGTCACTCATTACCTTTTTTTAAATAATGAAAGTCAACCTCCTTTATTTGGTATACGCTTCCTAGAATTCTCCAAAGCATCCTTCTTTTCTCTTCGCAAACATTAGGCATTTCTTATTCTATAGTATTTTATATCACAGAACTGTTTCTTCTCATTTTTCAATATGTAGAGCTGTCTCTAGTGAGTGGTAGATAATTGTACATAATAATCATATGCATAATTACATTTATGAGTATCCATCATTACACTATTATAGTATGATATTAAACTGATAATTACAAAAATAGTTATATATGAGATGATGGGACTATTAGCAAAGTTGAGTGATGAGTGAGTATAGCTCTGTCTTATTTAAAGTTGTGTCTTAAAGGAGCAGTTGGAATTAACCCTACTATAAAAAACGGGAGGGCTGAATATAGAATATTCTAGGGAAATGCACATGTCTGGGAAAACCTCAATGCTGTTAACAAGGTTATATATACATGGAATTTTAAAATACTTGACTGCTGTGCAAAACCATGAGAAGGAGGCCTAGTTTTTAGGATGTTAAATGATGTGCCAAAGAACTTGCCCACAGTGTTGTGAAGGAATGTGTTTGTAGCACTGATCATAGGACTTAATCAGGAACATCTTTTTAGAGTTTTATTTTCATCTGTTTACATATTATTTCCCAGAAGTTGTTCTTAAAATGTAAAAGCATTCAGCTCAATTCAAATATGTCCCATAAATATGTTTCAACAGTCAACATAAACACAGAGAGAGAACCCTTGAAACTATTTAGGCATTTATTACCATTGGAAAATGTCTAGACTTACTGACACAATTGTATTAGCTTATCTTTCATGTAAAATAATAAAAATTTCTAACACTCACAGTCCTCTAAGTAAAAAATATCTACTGAAATGTTGCATCCATGAATGAGCAAATGAATTAAAAGTGTTATTACAATTTTTAATAAAAACAACGCATTTAATACCAACACATTTCTTACTAGGCAAGTGTGTCATTCTGTTTTTGCATCTCTATGAATAAATACCTGAGACTGGGTAATTTATAGAGAAAAGAAGATTAATTAGTTCACAGTTCTGTAGGCTGTACAGGAAACATGTTGCCAGCATCTGCTTCTGGCTAGGACCTCAGGAAGTTTACAGTCATGGTGAAAGGTAAAGGGGGAGCAAGCACATCACATGGAGAGAGTGGGAGCCAGAGAGAGAGAGAGAAGGGCAGGGGGTCCTAGATTCTTTTAAACAAGCAGACCTCACATGAACTAATTGTTTGAGAAACTCATTTATCACCAAGGGAATGGTGCTAAACCATTCATGAGGGATCCACCCCCATGATCCAATCACTTCCCACCAAGCCCCACCTCTAAAATTGGGAATCACATTTCCATATGAAACTTTGAAGAGACAAACATCCAAAACATATCAGCAAGTTTAAATGAAGTAACTACATAAATGCATTAAAAAGTACTTTGTCATTATAGGCACACTTTATTCTTCACATCAAGTTTTTTAAATTACAAGTAAAAAATTTAAAAATACTGATATTTTTTATAGAGTTTAGTATACAGGTTAAGTATCAAATTCATATATATATGAATTTATATATATAAAAAATATATATATATATATATATTTTTTTTTTTTGAGACAGAGTCTCGCTCTGTTGCCCAGTCTGAGGTGCAGTGGCGGGATCTCGGCTCACTGCAAGCTCCGCCTCCTGGGTTCACGCCATTCTCCTGCCTCAGCCTCCCGAGTAGCTGGGACTACAGGTGCCCGCCACCATGCCCAGCTAATTTTTTGTATTTTTAGTAGAGACAGGATTTCACCATGTTAGTCAGGATGGTCTCGAATTCCTGACCTCGTTATCCGCCTGCCTCGGCCTCCCAAAGTGCTGGGATTACAGGCGTGAGCCACCACCGCTCCTGGCCCATAAATATTTTTAAAGAGTAAATGCCCTAGAAATTATTACACTTCTATACTCACTAAAAATTGTTATTTTCTGCTTCCTTTTTAGCAGGTGTTTATACCTCATCCTTAAAAAATATTATCAGTTAAATTATGTTTCCTCTGACATGATCTGAATAGGGATTTGATATATAAAATATATTGGTAACAAGTTATGTGCAATAGTTAACTGTCACACTTAATTACTTAAATTCAGCTTTTCCTGCAAAAATTCTAGGTAAGAGGCAAACTGACTCAGCTAAAGCAATTGCTATTTTAATAACAACATCACATATACAACAAATTTTTAAGTCCCCTAGAAATCACATCAGTTTTAGCTTGAAAGTCATTATAAAAATATAGGGTATAAATTAAGTAGTGTTTTGATTTGTGAAAATATGAGTCTTAAAATTTTTTTAATTAACAATATTCTCCTTGGAACAAATATATTCTCATTACTCTAGAACTTTGTTTAATGATTGAGAGGCTAGATAAACTGATCTTTGAGTCTCATTTCTTCTAAAAATCATGATTCTATCTTCTGTTTTGTTTTTACATTATTTTTAAAAATTTCTACATTCATGCAATGGTCAAAGGGCTTACCAACAAATGATTTTATTTTTCTTGCCATTTTCTGGGTCCCTATGTGCTTCCCTACATTCATTTTCCTCTTGCAAATACCATCAAGTCTGTAAACTGGTCTATTCTAAAGGAATTCCTTAAGGTCACTAGCAAGGGAGCTAGCTAAGAGCATTCTTAATTTTATTCCATACAGCACTTTCCAGTGCTAGTTGTGGTGCCTGGCTTCATATAAATGCATTACAACTTTCCATCTTCTCTCTGTAGCTCACAATAGTTATCTAACTCACCATTGTTTCATTTAATATTCTTTGCTTCTGGGTGTTTTTTTGTCTCAAGACAGCTAATATATCTATGTTCATATTGCCAAGTAGAAGAATCATTGTGCATTCAATTTCTTTTTTCAGATGCTATTAATTCCAGACACAGATGGAAAACTTCCTTCCATTGCAACCACATAAGAGACCATTTTACTCAATAACAGCCTTTCTTTTTAAGGCTGAAATTCTTTTATATATTTGGCAATGCAAATTCTGTTCTCAAAAGTATTTAGCTTATATTCTTTCATTGTATTGACTTTATTCACTTTGATCTACATTTAAAAGTGTGTACTTTTTTTCCAAAGTGAAATAGAATTTCAACTCTATTTAAATGATTATATTTTGATCTTTGTTTCATAATGAAAAATGAGAAATGAGGCATGGAAGTATCTGGGTAATAAACTGAATATTAGTTTAGTCCTTCAATAGGTAGTGAAATAATAATACATTTCCTATGTATTATTGTACTATCACAGTTTATTAAATTTTATGTCTTGTCACAATTTTTATTTCAGCCCACATTAAGCAAACTATGTGTTTTAAAAGAAATTATGGCTAATTTTAGCTGTAGTAGCTTAGCAAAGAGAGGGGAGGAAACAAGAGTTGAATAGGATAGTTTTTGGTGGAGGAGACAAATTGGCAGCAGGTGTAGTCAGGGCATCAAACATATTTTAGACAGCAAAGTTAGTCACAAGAGTAAAATATCTGAGACAATGGAATAAACCAACAGGATTCTCAAAACTCAATCACAGGGGCTATCGCTATAAACAGTCCTAAGAAAATACCAGGTCCAAGTCAGTAAGTGATAGTGAAGTCAGGCAGCCAGTCTAGGATGGGTATGATGAAGGCAAAAAGAATTATCTGTAACTGCTCCTATACTTCTCTACTCTAGGCTTTGGCTTTAGAGAGTGCTACATCTCAAAAGCAGGTTAAAAAATAAATAAACATATGAGAGAACATATGGATGCCTATATTACTCAGGATCTAATGGTCAAAACTGGCATGAAATCATACATAATCAAAACATCAAGTCTCCTAACACTGTTTTGGCCCCCGAGAAATCTTCTTTCTTGTCTGTTGCAATCATGTCCAAATTAAAGATTCCTGAGTTGTTTCATTGCTCTCATAGGAAACAGACACGGTTTAATAAAGAGGAAAGACAATAAAATCAATAAATTTTTCAGATAGCATAAATACAATAAATTCTTGCAAAATAAATTGTTATAAAAAGTTTTAAAAACCTAAAAATGTAACTTTTGGCTATTTAATTTTAAGAAAGAAATTAAAGAAAAAAGGTAATCAAAGGTAGTACATGTGAAATATTCAACTAAAGTAACATTTCAATATTCCAAGAAAATTAGAACAGAAAAACAAAAATTACTTGCATGACTGAAAAAGAATTATATACAAAAAATCCAAATGAATAACCCAATCATTATTTTCAGATTCTTTCCTGGCTACTATCAATCAAGGTAAATTTTCCTTGAAAAAATATAAATAGTAAATTGAGCTATTTTCTGATTTCTTTATAATACTATACCTTAAAAACAATTAAAAATATTTAAGAAGTACTGAATGGATTTATATATTGCTAATAGATAGTAAAAATTGGAATATAAGTAATAAAGTTGCATATAATAAAAAATTTCAATAGCTTCTATCCATCAGTATATATGATTTTTTACAGACTTTAAGTATGATATCAATGGTTAATATCTGAATTCATATAAGGTCTGAAAAATTATATTGATAATTACAGTTATTCCTGTTTCAATAGAGCAAAATATATCTAAATTGAAATTACTTAATGACTATCTTAGAATTATAATGACTCAAATATATAATTGGGCATTATTGTCAACAGAACACAAATGATCACAAATTAGCAATTACAATATTATTATTTTGTGATTTATCTGAAATACAAATGTATATTATATATAATAATTTGCAATTTATGTTTATTTCTTTTTTATATGTATACTTTAAGTTCTGGGATACATGTGCAGAATGTGCAGGTTTGTTACATAGGTATACACGTGCCATGGTGGTTTGCTGCCCCCATCAACCCATCATCTATATTAGGTATTTATCCTAATGCTATCCCTCCCCAAGCCCTCCATCCCCCAACAGGCCCTGGTGTGTGATGTTCCCCTCCATGTGTCCATGTGTTCTCATTGTTCAACTCCCACTTATGAGTAAGAACATGCAGTGTTTGGTTTTCTGTTTCTGTATCAGTTTGCTGAGAGTGATGGTTTCCAGCTTCATCAATGTCCCTGCAAAGGACATGAACTCACCCTTTTTATGGTTGCATAGTATTCCATGGTGGATATGTGCCACATTTTCTTTATCCAGTCTATTATTGATGGGCATTTGGGTTGGTTCCAAGTCTTTGCTATTGTAAACAGTACTGCAATAAACATATGTGTGCATGTGTCTTTATAGTAGAATGATTTATAATATTTCGGGTATATATCCAGTAATGAGATTGCTGGGTCAAATGGTATTTCTGGTTCTAGATCCTTGAGGAATCGCCACACTGTCTTCCACAAGGAGCACATGCTTCTGAAATTACACTCCCACCAACAGTGTAAAAGTGTTTCTATTTCTCCATATCCTCTCTAGCATCTGTTATTTCTTGACTATTTAATGATTGCCATTCTAACTGGCATGAGATAGTATCTCATTGTGGTTTTGATATGCATTTCTCTGATGACCAGTGATGATGAGCTTTTTTACATATGTTTGTTGGCTGCATAAATGTCTTCTTTTGAGAAGTGTCTGCTTACATCCTTTGCCCACTTTTTGATGGAGTTTTTTGTTTTTCTCTTATAAATTTGTTTGAGTTCTCTGTAGATTCTGGATATTAGCCCTTTGTCAGATGAGTAGATTGCAAAAATTTTCTCCCATTCTGTAGGTTGCCTGTTCACTCTGATGCTAGTTTCTTTTGCTGTGCAGAAGCTCTTTAGCTTAATTAGATCCAATTCAATTTTGACTTTTGTTGCCATTGCTTTTGGTGTTTTACTCATGAAGTCTTTGCCCATGCCTATGTCCTGAATGGTATCCCCATAAAGCTACCATTGACTTTCTTCACAGAATTAGAAAAAACTACTTTACATTTCATATAGAACCAAAAAAGAGCCCACATAGCTGAGACAATCCTAAGTAGAAAGAGGCATCATGCTACCTGACTTCAAATTATACTAAAAGGCACAGTAATCAAAACAGCATGGTACTGGTACCAAAACAGATATATAGACCAATGGAACAGAACAGAGGCCTCAGAAATAATGCCACACATCTACATCCATCTGATCTTTGACAAACCTGACAAAAACAAGCAATGGGGAAAGGATTCCCTATTTAATAAATGGTGTTGGGAAAACTGACTAGCCATATGCAGAAAACTGAAACCGGACCCCTTCCTTACATCTTCTACAAAAATTAACTCAAGATGGAATAAAGACTTAAATGTTAAGACCTAAAACCATAAAAACCATAGAAGTAATTTATATTTATCTCTAATAATACAGATATCACTGTTCCAGCAAGGAACACCAAGACATGTACAATATCATTGAAATACAGCTGTATTTGATATTTTGTGGACTTTCAGTGACATAAAAAACATATCATTCCACATGTGCTTCAATTCTGTTTTTATAGAGTTATATTTTACATGGTAGAAAATTATATTACGTATTATGTAACAATTTCTTAGCCTCCTTCATAACTTTCAGGTGAACCTTCATTTGTATTCTTGCCCAAATGTAGATAGACATCACGGCAGACTTGATAATCTGAAAAAGTAACATTTTGGTTAGAATTTCTTTTAATAGATTTTTTTCTCCTTGATCACTCTTTTTACATCAACTAATTATGAAAATAAAACCAAAACCAAAGATATTTAGAGATTTAGCCATGATTCATGTTTTGGGGATTATATTCATATATATATTTATTTATTTGAGACTGAGTCTCACTCTGTTGCCCAGGCTGGAGTGCAGTGCTGCGATCTCGGCTCACTGCAATCTCTGCCTCCCAGGCTCAAGCGACTCTCCTAACTCAGCCTCTTGAGTAGCTGGAAGTACAGGGACATGCCAGCATGCCCAGCTGATTTTTATATTTTTAGTAGAGACGGGGTTTCACCTTGTTGGCCAGGCTGGTCTTGAACTCCTCACCTCAAGTGATCCACCCACCCCAGCCTCCCAAAGTGCTGAGATTACAGGCACAAGCCACCGCACCTGGCCTATGGTTCATATTTTAATGTTTCTCTCTTATTCACTTTATCAACCCTGGTTTGTGTATTAAACTAAGATTCTACAGTGTTAGAACTTGTTCCAGTTTTTTCCCATGTGTCTACTCACTTCATCAGTAAACTAGCCCTATTTTTCCAACCAAATACACATGAATTACAAAGGAAATGCTGTATCTTATATAAATTAGCTGATGTAAAACTTATATAAATAATAAAAATGTTCTATCATTATATTCCCTCACTAAATATACTTTTCTAAAAATAATAAAATTCTGTGAAATAATTAATGGTCTTTGAAAATTTGAAGAAATTTCACTTTTAAATTAAGACTTTTTCCCAAGTCAAACCAATTATTTAGAGAGTATAGACAGACAAAAGGTTTGAAGAAAAATTTTTATATATTTACAGTAAGCATATCTTTATACATCAACACACATAGACTCTCATGGAGTAAAATATGATACCACAGGGGATATCTATGATAACTTGAACTGTGGCAGTTATATTCTTCTGGTGAGACAAAATAATACTTTCAATAATTGAAAGTAAGAACTAAAATTTTCAAAGCATGGTGCTAATATCCATCTCTGTCCCCAAATGCAAATTTAAGATATGCCAGTTTAAACTGGAAATATACTTTTTTACAACATTTTAAGAGAACACAGTTAAAATAAAACACATACACAATATTTCTAAAGTTTTCAGTTCACTGTTACTCAAAACCTAAAATTTTGTTATTGCATCCAGAAATAAATTTTTTAATTCATATTTCATGTTTCAGTCAATGAAACAACCACTAATCCTTTAAAAACTAAAACAAGAACATTTTTTCTCATTCAGGCACTTAATTAGAACTTCAAAAATAGATTAGTTGTAATTGAAAAAGTAATAAAATATAGTTTGGCATTTTTAAGAGGAATCTAAATTAGCATGTTTAATGAAGTTACATTATTTTTTGCTTTGTCAGTATACTTAGTCCCTTTCCAAGTCACAGAGTTGAAAAACAAATAATCTGTAAAAGCAGATAATTTTCTTTCTTGTAACCATTTGAAATGGTAAGGTCTATTAAAGCAGTTTTCATTTATTTATAGTAACTATATTTTAAAATAATCATTTGAGAGAACTCTTAAAACATATACTGTTGGTGGGAATGTAAACTAATGCATATATGATGGAAAACTGTATGTAGGTTTCCCTAAAAATGAAAACTATAATTGCCATATGATCCAGCAATCCAATTACTGAGTATTATATCCAAAGGAAAGGAAATCAGTGTATCAAAGAGATATTTGAACTCCATGCTTTCTGCATCTTTATTCACAATAGCAAAAATATGGCATCAACATCAAAAGATGTATGGACAAAGAAAATGTGGTATGTAGTCACAATGGGATACTGTTCAGCCATAAAAAAAGAAGAAAATCCTTTCATTTGTGGCAACATGCATGATACTGGAGGACATTAGGTTAAGTGAAATAAGTCAGGCACAGAAAGATAAATATCACATGTTCTCACTCATATGTGGGAGCTAAAGGAAAATTGAGCTTACAAAGGCAGAGAGTGGAGTTGTGGTTATTAGCATCTGGAGAAGTAGTGGGAATAGGGGGGACAAAGAGAGTTTGGTTAGTGGATATAAAGCTACACCTGGATGGGAGGAATACATTCTAATGTTCTGTAGCAGTTTAGGATGAATATGGTTAAAAATAATTTAGTGTATATTTACAAACGCTAGAAGAGAGGATTTTTAATGTTCACAACACAAATGATGAATGTTCAAGGTGATAGATATGTTAAATACCCTGATTTGATCATTGCACTTGTATACATGTTTCAAAATATTGCACTGTATCCCAAAAATATATATAATTGTGTGTGCCAACTAAAATAAAAGGAAAATAGAAAAGAAAAATAAAACCTTTGGTATCTTTTATATTTTTATTTATTTTCCTTTGCTCCTAGAGATATTTCATTTTATGTAACATCAGTTTTCCCACCATTTTCTTGTCTGGGTAAAACCACTAGAGAAAAATTTAAATTAGCATAACTGTTTGAATCTCTAGATAAATACTAAAATTAACTTGAATGATCAAATATACATATAAAACATGACCTAAATAACTTCTTGTTTAAAATAACCTCTGGCCAGTAGCTGTTAATTCAGCTGCTTCTAAATCTCATTCATTTAAAAAATATTTCAGACTTCCAGTAAGCCTTCTTCTAAGTATAGCACATATCAAGACAAACTTTATTAATAAATTCAGGGACATACATTTAATTTAGAAGAAGGTGGGAAGACTATAAACAAGAAAAACAAAATCACACACAAACAAGATAGTATCAGTTAGTGATATACACTTTGATAAAAATAGAAGGGAGTATTGTGATACTGAACAATGGAGAATACCTTTAAATTGATTGGCTGAGAAGGATCTGTCAAGGGCCATGGTTTCAGACAAGACATGCATATAAATATTGAGAAGCCAAGGAAGAATATTATAGGCAAAAGGAACAGCAAACACAAATGCTGTGAGCTCTCTGAAAGCCAATGTGACTAGATTGATAACAAGTGTAGAAATATTTCGGGGATTTCTGAGAGAGGAGCAGAAAGCAAATACTTTTACATTACTACAATAATTTTCGATATTATTATAATTGTACAAAGAGTTACTAAAAAGTTTTAAATGCTTGCATGATGAGTGATTCAACTATTTAGTGTGACTGATGCTTGGAGAATAGCATAAGAAGGAAGCTTACACAAAGACCAGTGAAGGCTATTAATATAGTCTCATCTAGTTATAAACATGATCCAGCCAAGTATGTTAATGAAGCAGTGGAGGACAAGTGAAAGAATCTGCGATATATTTTGGAAGTAGAGATGAAAATATTTTCTAAAGGAAAGGTTAAAATGTATGAAAATCAACAAAGATAATCAATTTTTTGGTTTAAGTACTAAGTTAGTACTGGTGTCATTTACTAAGAAAGGGAAGCATAGGGAAAAGACACATGTAGAAGAGAAAATTATGAGTTCCTTCAGGATGTCTTGAATTGGACAGACCTAATAGTTGTCTAAATGGAGATGTCAAGTAAGCTGTTGCAGAAATGAGGCTACATTTTGGATGAAAAGTTAAGGCTGGAGATAGACATTTGAGAGTCTCAGCATATGGGTGTTTTTTATAGTCATGGAACTGCATGAGATTGCCTGAGAAAGATGATATATTCAGAAAAGAAAAGTAGGCTTGATGATCGAGTCCTGATCTAAGCTCAAATGACGTAAAAGGAGCATCAGGCACCAGAAACTGAGATGGAGTGAGCAATAAGCTAGAAGAAAATAGAGGGTGACAAGAAAACAGAACATGAAGAAATAAACTGATGTAAGAATACAAAGTAGTATTTTTCATTAAATATTGCTGATACATCAATTAAGCAGTTTATTGCAGTAGCAGGGATGCAGTGAGGAGGGAAGGGTAAATGAGAAAGTACAGGCAGTAAGGATAGACCCTTCTTTCAAAATTTATTCATTCACTTATGTTTATGAAGAGGAATTGTGGAATGAGACAGTATTTGGAAAAGAATGTTATGTTGTAATAGCTAGATAGATAATAGATAAATTATAAAGAATAGATGACTGATAATAAATGATAGATTAGACAGATATTTTAGACAGGTGAAACTAGAACAAGTTTGTTGATTGAAAAAAATAGAGACTATTCATGAAGGTGAAAGAAAAAAAGCAGGAACAAAATAGTTTAGAAAATGATGAAGCAGAGGTGTATGCATATGCATGTGGTTGTTGAAAACACTTAGAAGTGAGACTGAGAATTTAGGACAGTCTTGATGATACAATGTTATTTTCTTAAATCTCAGTGAAAGACTTTGGGATGCTGGAGAAGGGTGCAAAAAAGGGATAGATTACTCAATGTACAGATTAGGTTTTTTTTTTTTGAGATGGAGTCTCGCTCTGTCACGCAGGCTGGAGTGCAGTGGCAGTATCTCAGCTCACTGCAACCTCCACCTCCTGAGTTCAAGAGATTCTCCTGTCTCAGCCTCCCAAGTAGCTGGGACTACAGGCATGAGCCACCACACCCAGCTAATTTTTGTGTTTTTAGGACAAGGTTTCATCATGTTGGCCAGGCTGGTCTTAAACTCCTGACCTTAGGTGATCCACTCGCCTCAGCCTCCCAAAGTTCTGGGATTACAGGTGTGAGCCACCACCCGGCTGTACAGACCAGTTCTGACAGAAAAAGCTGGATGATGGAATAAATGATAGATGACCTGGGAAGACAGGACATAGGCAGCGACTCAGGAAAACAAAGCATAATGGAAGTAGTACTGAATATTTCTTGGACACGACTTCTCAAACTATCTGTGGTGAAAGATTATTTTGCCTGTCTGCATCATAGAAGGATAATTGTGAAAAAAATGGATTTCTAAAAAATTATCACATACTTGTATGTTACAGCAATGGCATTTTCTAGAAATGTTTGTAAATACTCCAATTTCTGTAGTAATTCTTTGTGGGTCAGTAACAAAAGTTCTCCAATGGGTATCAGTTTGAGAAACGCCTTCTGTAAGATAGTCTTAAACAAGTGTAATTAAGAAAAGTGTTCTATTTTTTTAGTGTGAATCCCATAATAGTAAAATTTAGACAAACTACAGCACAGTTATTCAGTTAGAAATTTTATATATTTTTTGTAAATAATATACAAATACTCAGGGCTAGTATGTTACATAATAATAACATTTAAACAGAAAAGGACAAGGCACTCACTTTAAATACACCTGTGGCATCACTGAAGAAAAAATGAAAACTCTTAATGAAAGCTAAGGCTGTCAGAAAATGTAAAGCAAAAAGTAATTTGCACTAATGATAAGGCAGATAAATTTGGATTTTAAAAAATTACTTAGGCTTTATGTCATTCTGATTATGTTAATGTTATCTTTCATAATACTTGTAAGATCTAACACCTGTCTCAGTACATGTGGAGTCCAAAAACTGAATGATACTCCTCAGTCATGAATACTATTATACTTACCATAGCTCTACATTTAGACAAATGTTTCATATTGTGGAGAATAACTGGTAATGGAATGGTAGGGTTCTAAAGAGAAGCCAGTAGTATTTAGGAGGATTTGTAGGGTGCTGATGAGAATTTATGCTTCATAGAAGTTGTACCTTGACTAAAACTAGTAGGCTATGAAACATTAAGAAACCTAATAGGAACAAAGCCGACTGAGCATTTAATGCATTTTCCTCCATGGACTTTTCTGTATTTATTCAGAATTACATACAGCAAATCAACTGAGAAAAAAAAAAGAAGATTTTATTTCAGTAGGGAAAACACTCAAAACCCTAAATAAAATCTATTAAAGATTAGAAATTGGCTTGGAGCTTTGCATGTTACCATGTCAACTAGGAATGTGACTTCCCATTTCTTTGAAAGTAACAGCCGTTAATGTTTCCTACTGTGTGCCCATAAAATACCAAAAAAAGACAAACTCTCTCTCCTTGCACTGTATATTTTCAAGTCTAAGTCATGCTGAAGTTGAATAAGAAAAAAATTCTAAATTGGGTGAGTTTATCTTTTGATACTAGCTTAGGCAAGACTTTATTGATTTATTATTTAATACTTAAGGACTGAAATATTTGCTAAGATATGCAAATGTGTAGAAAAACTATGGGCTAGATTTGAGATTTTATGCTTGTTTGAGAAAGGGTGACGTTACCAAGCAGGTTTAAAGGCCAGTGTTGCTAATTAATATTTATTTCTAAAGACACCCTACTCAGTCTACTTCATTCTGGCTTGTATATTGACAGACCATATATTGCCTTGTTTGAAAATTTCTGAGACTGCTAGCTATTAACCAAATCCATTTTCTTCTTCTCTGGCACACAAATGGCCTCATTTCTCAGGCTTACTCAGAGTTAGACATAGCTATAGAACTGAGTTCCCACCAACAGCACATGAGCCATAATGACGTGAGCCATTATGGTCCAGTTCTGGTCCATTAAAACCACTTATGCAGTCTATTTTTTGTTCTTTCTTCTTATGACGGGTGCATACAGAGAATAAGAAATATCTGTGCATTGGTAGAGATATAATAAATCGGAGCCTGGGTCATTGAATGAATTCATGGATAAAAGATCATCTGCCTCCTGTACATTTAACAATTATTGTTTTGGGAGCAAAAAATATATATAAGCGTCTATTGTGTTAAGCCATTTGTTTGGTCCTATTTCTATTGCATTTAGGCTATACTAAGCAATACGTATTTACAGTAATAGACATAATATAAGAACAAAATGATAACATGGAACAATTTTTCTACATTACACATTATAAGTAAATGTATTAGTACCTGGAAGACACACAAAAAGCACATACTTCTGAAATTATATAATGCAAGAACCAAAATAACAAATTTAGAATGTTGTTCACATTCTTAATGAATTTCAAGGCATTTGTTCTTATAAATGAGAAAACCAAAACATAAGGAATAAATCAGAAGAGATTAAAAGGTAATAACATAAGTCCAAAATGAAAAATTATTTTTTAAAAAAGACTGCATTTCAGGGAAAGAAAATAAAATTTGGTGCTACAGAAAATTGAATCATTAACCTCAAAAACAAATGTGAGAATCTCTCCCAGAATGTGGAGAATAAAGGGTAATGAATTTCAAATGTTGAAAAAAGAAGAGTGACAAATGTCAAGGTTAGATAATGTAGTGAAAGGTACCAATAATTTCTGTATCAGAAGCAAATGACTAAATAGCTAAAGATTTCAAGTGACAGAAAGCTGATAATGATTTCATAGTTTGCTCAGGAATATCAACAAAAATGATTTATTATGAAAAAATTTTGAACTAAAAAGATAAGAAAAACATTATTTAAGCCATCACAAATGGAAAATAAGAAAGACAAATAAACAAAGTAATGGATACTACTGAAGAAAGGTCAGTGGTTGTTGTGATATTGCTGCACAAACAAAATGCCAGAATTCACAATGCACAGTTTTCAGAATATTGACTGAAAAAAAAATTGTGACCACCAAATGTCAAGCCTTGCTAAGTAGTCACTTGTTTGAACTCAATAAAAAATAAAAATCTTCTCATGTCCATAGTGTTAAAAAGTCTTTCTCATTCCTTTCTTTCCAAAATTTAAGATATGTATATAATGAAAGGAGATTAAAGATAGAGAAAAAATGTAAAGAACAATTACAGTGTAAGTGAATAAAGTTAAGTACTAAAATAAAAGATAAATGGCAAAAAATATAGTCATTTTTGTTAATCTGTCAGAAAAAGATGGCAGATGGTAAAAATATCAAATACTGAAAAATTTTATGTATGTAAAATGACAGAGTATTGAGAAAAATCTTTAACTGGTTTGAATAGAGCAAAACAAAAGTGGGCTAAATTTTTTTTGTTGTTATAGGTTTAATGCGCGTCCGTGTGAAGAGACCTGTCAATAGGTAAGCCAAAATTAGTATTTTTCTTAATTTTATCAACTAGAAAAATACAGATTAAAAACAACTTTAAAAAAACTATTAAAAATCACTTTGGAAAAAATTCAAGCAAGTAAGAACACAACCAAGAAAATTTAAAAATTGAGGCATATAGCAAGCTTGCAAATAAATGCAACACAACTTGTATCAATTAAAACATTAAATTTTAAGGAGTTGTACTTATTAAAATAAAACAAAGTGACAAAAGGTAGAATATAACTACATGAAATAGTCATACCTGAAATTAAGTGACATTAAAAAGTTAAAAATAGGTACATATATGGTAAACAAAGCAAATGGGTGACATTTCATAGTATAACATATATTTTTCCTTGAAGGGCTTAATATATGATATTAGTAATAGCTGCATTTAGTGAGTTTTTATACTGTACCAGTGACTGTTCTATAACTTTATGTTTATTAACTCATATATAGTTCTAAATTATACTTGGTATAATTTTTGTTTCCAAGATAAATAAATAAATAAAGCGAGTTAATTTTTTCAAAGACCATGTAATTGGAAAACAATGGAGTTCAGACTGATATCCAGGCCAGATAAATTCAGAGCACAAGATTTTTAGTTTTATATTTCTCTAAGAAGATAAAATTGCCATAAAACTCCTGTGCCTTAATCATACTGCATTGGCTGTAAATATGCAAGTAAGTTACAAAAGCAGTTGGAAAAAATAATCATACCTCTTTTAGACTTTGATATGTGTGTTTGTAAGATGTACATAATCATAAATAGTAATAATTAAACCAATAATATCAATAGCAATTACAATTTAATAATTTAATAAAAATTATTTTCTTCTATGCAATATATTAAGTACTTTACAAATTTCATTTAGCCATCATAGTAATTTTTGATACAGAAAAATAAAGCTAAAATAATTTAAATAGGATTTATCCTGAGACAGAAAGTGAGTGATTCAAGGTCACATAGCTGTTAAATGAGGCCAGCATTTTACCCAGAACTATTCTATGCCAGACCTGTACTTAACATTGTATTATGTTCTAATAAAATAATAAGGTGAAGGAGTGTATTAAACTTTATACCATAAAACAGATCCTTTTGTCTAGTAACCATTAATGTTTCAAAAGCCAGCAATTGCTTATTAGAGTTCAACATGCTTTAAAACACTGAAGCTGTTTAAGTCCTAGTCTTCAACCTCAATGCAAACATCTTGAAGTCACCAAAAATATTTTTAATCTACCCTCTTGTACAAAAGTAAATGTCTTCTTAGTTAGAGAAAAGAGATAATTAAACAGTAGTTTTAGACTATTTAAACATTAACAACTACATCCTAAATGTCAAAACTAATGCATCAAATATTTTCAAAAGAAAAATCAGTAAAATGTTAGTTAATTATGAATGAAGAGAAAATTAAAATAAATATAATGAGAATTCGATTTAAGAAACTGGAAGAGGAATAACAAAACTATGTGTCTGAAATTGCATTAAAGCAAAAAATTAAATAAATTGAAGGTAAAATATATAATTGATAAATACATTCAGGAATTTTTTATCTGACTAATCAATGAAATGAAGAAACCTGTGGTAAAATAAGCAAGGAAATAAAAAGACATAAAAAAGAGAATTAAAATAGGCATTTAATCTCAGAATAATGAATAAATAAGAAAATAATTTTAAAAAATTAAAAAAACAGTAGAAGATAATATTACAGATAATTCTAGCTACAAAAATAAAAATCTTAATGCAGTGGTCTTTTTTTTTAGAAAAACAATATGTTCTCAATTTTATTTAAAAATAAGGTAGATGGGAATGAAAATAGAGAATATATATATATATATATATATATATATATATATGTATAAGCAAAAATAGTCAGCAAAATGCTGTTAGTTTGTAGTAGAACCAGAGCCTATCACAGAGCATAAAATTTCTTTGTCTCTGGAAGAGGAGAAGAAAACATGGGAAGCTTTTTGATTCATTTCATGAAGAGGTAACAACCTGACACTGAATTCTGATAAAGACATCACTAGCATTCTGTGAAACATAACCCCACCACCACCATTAAGTTTGCATATTTAATAGGATTGAGTTATTACTTTTATTTTGCAATCAGAAGGATAAAGAATTATTGGCATAAATCCTAAAATTAAATAATGGTTCTTATTGGTATATGATAAATGTTGTAACTGGTTCACTGACACACTCCAAATAGAGGCCTCTGATGGTTGTTTCAGCTTTATTGAAATATTTTATTTTTCTGGTGAAGGTTAGAAAAACAGAACAATAAAACATCCGCTTATTTAGCATTGACTGTGAAATATGGGATGATCTGCAAGTTAGGTTCTCAAAATAATAGATTTAAATATTAGATCTAAAATTCAGTATCTACAGTTATAAACAAATTCTTGATTTTCCCCTTTATGATGCACAAAGACCAAATCACAATCATCTTTAAAGGTCTTCATAAATGATTACTAGCACACAGGGACAAGATATAGTTTACAAATAGAAGAAAGATTTGACCATACTTTAGAAGACTATTCAATGAAAACAGTAGACAACACTTACTTAATAATAATAGTATCAAAAGCTCTGTGCTAGGTATTTTTCTTGGTGCTTTGAACATATTACTTTGTCTAATTCTGATAACAACTGAATTGGTAGTGTTTCTCAGATAGGAAACTGAAGCCCAAAGAAGTTTAGTTACTTGTTTGAGAACATATCTAATAAGTGCCTGGGCACACACACATGCAGTCTTGCTTTGTTTGGGTTTGTGCTTGTGAGCATACACCATAAAATATTAATATCAACAGTAGAAAGTTAAAGCAGAAATTATCATTATTAGTGGGATTTCAACGTGGAAAACCATTCAAAGGTGCAAATGCTCTATGTACTACTGCTTCTTTTCTGGCCCTAATTCATCCTATTATAATACTTAAGAGATACACAAAGCTCTGTTTTTCCCATTACTATTTCCCTTAGTGGGGCCACTGCCAAACAAGATTTACAGAGATCCGTAGAGCAACTGATGTTCTTGGTAAGACTGCCCCTCCCTTGGCCTATATGCTGCCTGCTTACAAACTGTTAAACAGATTAATCCTAAAAAGGAAGCTATAATTAGAACTGATTACCCAATTTTCCCTAAGAAACCATCAGTACTAATGTAATCATTTTATAGTCCTGTTTATTTTGGAAACAACTAAAATCCCCAAACTTCCACAATCACCCATATGTCTCTATAGATCCCCTAATTGGACCCAATGTCCTAACATTCCCTAACTCCCAAACACAGTCACTGTAACTACCCTCTGTTAACAGCAAATCTCTATATCTTTACTAAGTCTTCTCTCAGTGTCTGAATCTGACTGTTACTCAAGGAGTCTACATCTCCTTAGTGTTCACCAAGATCATTACTCCTATCTTAAAACCTCAATTCTTTCTGCTTGGTTTATACTTTCCACCACCTGTCTTTCAATGCAAAGTCTATGCACATTGCTACTTCACTTCCCTGTCTTTTACACCGGAAACTGCAATATCTATATATGTAAACTTTCAAATGCCATGGCTTGTCACTCCAATGACTGGCATTTCCAATGACTTTTCTTCTAAACTATTTTAGTTTCCCATTCTTACTGGCAATTAGTGCCATTGAAAATTACTGCCATTTAAAACAAACATAAAAAATGTCTTTATCAATGCTCATTCTTTGCCATCTACTTCAACTTTTCCATCTGAGTCTACTATCCCTTTGTCAACTAAGCTTTGGACAGTCTAGGACCTCATTACATTGGAACCTTTTGGTATTCATGACCCAATACCTTGCTTTCCCTTATTTAACTTGTTTTATAACTTAGATTCCATGAAACATTATTAGAATAACTCTTTTAAATATACCATCCATTGAACTGATTTAATTTTCCTCTATCATGCTCATCTGATATACAAGATACTAGTGACCCTCACCAATATTTCTGGCCTTCTTGCATCCTGCATCTAAGAGAATACTCCACTGCTTTGTACTGACCAGCTTTGACCAATAGGACATAAATGTGTCATATGCCACATTTTAGTACAAATATTATAGAACCAGTGTGTGATTCCCTGTCTTTCCTCCTTTTTGCTGAGCAATCACTAAAACATGTGTTGGTTGAAGGTGCCAAAATATCAAAGCAATTCCAAATACTGAGCTCACACAGGGAGGAATGATTCCCTGGAGAGGATCTGGATTCACATCAGACTTTATGCAAATTACATATTTTTTATAGTAAATCGGTGTATAAGCGACTCACACTGCTATAAAGATACTACCCGACACTGGGTAGTTTATAAACAAAGGAGGTTTAATTGACTCACAGTTCTACACCTCTGGGGAGGCCTCAGGCAACGTACAATCATGATAGAAGGGGAAGAAGGCAACTTCTTCACAAGGAGGCAGGAGAGAGAAGTGTGTGGAGCAAAGGGAGAAGAACCCCTTATTAAACCAACATATCTCATGAGAACTCACTCACTACCATGAGAACAGCATGGGGGAACCACCCCCATGATCCACACACCTTTCACCAGGTCTCTCCCTAGACATATGGGGATTACAGGGATTACAATTCAAGATGAGATTTGAGTGAGTACAGAGCCAAACCATATCATTATGCCCCTGGCCCCTCCCAAATCTCATGTCCTCATATATCAAAACACAATCATGCCTTTCCAACAGTTTCCCAAATTCTTAACTCATTCTAGCATTAACCCAAAAGTCCAAGTCCAAACCATCTTTGTGAATGCATATAACTTAGTGCTTTTAAGAGCACTGTATTAGCCAGGGTTCTCTAGAGAGACAGAACTAGTAGGATATATATATAATAGGATATATATATAAAATAGGATATACATAGGATATCAAGTTGACATTAGGTGGACTTTTGATGGTTAATACTGATTGTCAACTTGATTGCATTGAAGCATTGATCCTGGGTGTGTCTGTGGAGGGTGTTGTCAAAGGAGACTAACATTTGAGTCAGTGGACTGATATATATATATATAAATGACATATATGTATATAATATATATACATATATATCATATATATACTGATATATATACATATATATATGTATATATATATATCAGTCCTAGTGATCCACTAGCAAAATTTTTGCTTCCTGTTTCCATGACATAACATTCTTCTGGCCTAGAGATCCATCACTCCTAGTGACCCACTAGCAAAATTTTGCTTCCTGTAGAAGATATACATATATCTCCCTAAGAATATATATATGTATATCTCCATAGGAGAATATATATATAAATGTATCCTCCACAGGAGAATATATATATATATAAATATATCCTCCACAGGAGAATATATATATAAAAATGTATCCTCCACAGGAGAATATATATATATATATATAAATATATATCCTCCACAGGAGAATATATATATATATAAAAATATATCCTCCACAGGAGAATATATATATATATATAAAAATATATCCTCCACAGGAGAATATATATATATATAAAAATATATCCTCCACAGGAGAATATATATATATAAAAATATATCCTCCACAGTAGAATATATATATATAAATCTATCCTCCACAGGAGAACATATATATATAAATATGTCCTCCACAGGAGAACATATATATATATAAATATATCCTCCACAGGAGAATATATATATATATAAATATATCCTCCACAGGAGAATACATATATATATATAAATATATCCTCCACATGAGAATATATATAAAAATATATCCTCCATAGGAGATATATATATATGCATATATATATATTATATATATATATATATTTATCATTCCACTGAGTTAAATGTTAGTCTCCTTTGACAACACCCTCACAGACACACCCAGGATCAATGCTTTGTAGCCTTCAATTCAATCAAGGTGACAATCAGTATTAACCATGAAAAGTCCATCCAGTGTCAGCTTGAACCCATAAACATCTCCTGAGATTATACATAATTTTCAAATAAAGACAATAATAAGGTCATAATTATGCCTAATACCACTATCCTTCGTACAACAGGAAATGCACCAATCCCCAACCCAAATACTATTACATAAAGTTAAAAATACTTAAATGCTGTGAAGTCAATAAATCTTATATGATAAAGGAAAAATAAATAAACTGAAGATATTTTCTTAGTACACGTGTATACATGCACAAACATATTTTTAACAAAGGAAGAAGGAAATACCATGACAATTACAGTCTCCATTTCTGCAGCTGGTCACGTAGTCATGGCTGGTATTTATAACTATCTTCTTCTACTATCCATTCTGTATTCCCTTTGCTTTTAGCAAGCACCTCAGCAGTTTGTGGTTTTTTTCCTGGTAGAGTGACCCAAACCTTCATTACTGAAGGGTCTGGGCCATTTGTAGTCCTGCCTGGTTTGGGCCGTTTTAGTTTCCCACTGACCTTAATCACAGGGCATGGTAATACTAAGAGACGCCCTAATGGATCTCCTGTATTCCATGCATACTCTTCCTTGCCTCTGTTGTGTAGTAGTAGACTGATTTCACCTTGATAGTCTGGTCAGTCACCATAGCCAACACTGTAACGCCCTTCTTAGCCTGTTGATTTAAAGGTAGGAGGACACCACAAAGTGTCCAGGTGGCAATCTTAACTTCCAGTTTAATGGAATCGTTGTTGTGTCTCCTAGTGTCAGCATTGCTCCTTCTGGAGCTAGGACCTCTATGCCAGCAGAACGTTATGTCATGGGAACAGGAAGCAAAAATTTTGTTAGTGGATCATTAGGAATGATGGTGGGTGGTGCCACTTCCACTTCCACCCCGTGATTCCTGGATCCATAAGTCCTGGCTATGGAAGAAACTACCATATATTGGATGCTGATTCAGAACATACAAGGACTTCTGGAAAACTTTGCCCCAGCCCTGCAAAGTATTCTCACCTAGTTTGTATTGTAATTGTGACTTCAAAAGGCCATTCCACTGTTTTATCAATCCAGCTGCTTCAGGATGATGGGGAACATGGTAAGACTAGTAAATTCCATGAGCATGAACCCACTGCCACACTTCTTTTGCTGTAAAGTAAGTGCCTTGTTCAGGGCCAATGCTGTATGGAATACCAGGTTGGTGGATAAGGCATTCCATTAGTCCACGGATGGTAGTCTTGGGATAAGCATTTTGTGTAGGATAGGCTAACCCATATCTGGAGTAAGTGTCTTTTCCAGCGAGGACAAACCTCTGCCCTTTCCATGATGGAAGAGGTCCAATATAATCAACTGCCACCAGGTAGCTGGCTGATCACCCTGAGGAATGGTGCCATATCGAGGGATCAGTGTTAGTCTCTGCTGCTGGCAAATTGGGCACTCAGCAGTGGCCATAGCCACATCAGCCTTGGTGAGTAGAAGTCCATATTGCTGAGTCCTTGTGTAGCCTCCATCCCTGCCACCGTGGCCACTTTGTTCATGGGCCCATTTTGCGATTACAAGGGTGGCTGGGGAAAGAGGCTAAGTGGTGTCCACAGAACAGGTCATCCTTTCCGCTTTATTAAAATCCTCTTCTGTTGAGGCCACTCATTGGGGAGCACTCACATGGGATACAAATATCTTCAGTTTTTGACCACTCAGAGAGGTCCAGCCACATACCTCTTCCCCAAATTCCTTTGTCACCAATTTTCCAATCATGCTACTTCCAAGTCCCTGACCATCCAACCAAACCATTGGCTACAGCCCAGGAATCAGTATATAATTGCACATCTGGCCATTTCTCCTTCCATGCAAAGAGCACAACCAGGTGCACCACTTGAAGTTCTGCCCACTGGGAAGTTTTCCCTTCACCACTGTCCTTCATGGATGTTGTAGAAAGGGGCTAGGGTGCTGCAGCTGTCC
Source organism: Homo sapiens (assembly GCF_000001405.40). Taxonomy (NCBI): domain Eukaryota; kingdom Metazoa; phylum Chordata; class Mammalia; order Primates; family Hominidae; genus Homo; species Homo sapiens. Next base: position 73,830,208 of record NC_000012.12, on the reverse strand, counting down.
ACTTTTGGGTGGTGCCTGCGCATTGTGCAGAACCATTTGTGAACCAGGCCCTAGTTTTCTCTTCCTCTGTCAACTGATCCTAGGGAACTCCCCGCGAGGCCATCAGTGCAGACTGAGGGAGAGAAGGGAGGGTGGCATGAGTGGAGAGCATGGGCATTTGAGCCACTTCCTCATGTAACTTGTGCCTTCAGGACCTGCTTGAGCCTGATCATATATATACCACTTCCATCTGATGACAAAATGCTGCTGTGCATGACCCACTTTATGGCTAGATGGGTCAGAAAGTATCCATGTCATGATAGGCAGTTCAGGCATGGTGACTTGATGACCCATAGTCAAATGTTCAGTTTCCACCAAAGCCCAGTAACGGGCCAAGAACTGTCTCTCAAAAGGAGAGTAGTTATCTGCAAAAGATGGCAAGGTCTCAGTCCAAAATCCTACAGGCTGCCGCTGTGATTCGCCTATGGGGGTCTGCCAAAGGCTCCAAACAGCATCCCTATCTGCTACTGACACCTCAAGCACTATTGGATCTGCTGGGTCATATGGCCCAAGTGGCAGAGCAGCTTGCACAGCAGCCTGGACCTGTTGCAGAGCCTTCTCCTTTTCTGGACCCCACTCAAAACTGGCAGACTTTTGAGTCACTCAATGAATGGATCAGAGTAACACACCCAAATGAGAAATGTGTTGCCTCCAAAATCCAAATAGGCCCATTAGGGGTTGTGCCTCTTTCTCTCTTTCTTGGTTGTACGAGGGACCAAATGCAGCAACTTATTATTCACCTTAGAAAGAATATCTCGGCAGACCCCCACCACTGGACCCTAGAAATTTTACTAAGGTAGAAGGTCTCTGAATTTTTGTAGGATTTATTTCCCACCTTCTGGCATGCAAATGTCTCACCAACAAGTCCAGTGTGTTTGCTACTTATTGCTCATTGGATCAATCAGAATAATGTCATGAATGTAATGTACCAGTGTAATATCTTATGGAAGCAAAAGGCGATCAAGGTCTCTCCAAATAAGATTATGACACAAAGCTGGAGAGTTGATATACCCCTGAGGTAGGACAGTAAAGGTATATTGCTGGCCTTGCCAGCTAAAGGTAAATTGCTTCTGGTGGGCCTTATGGACAGGAATGGAGAAAAAGGCATTTACCAAGTAAATGGCTGCATACCAGGTACCAGGAGTTGTGTTAATTTGCTCAATCAATGAAACCACATCTGGTACAGCAGCTGCAATTGGAGTCGCCACTTGGTTAAGCTTACAATAATCCACCGTCATTCTCCAAGATCCACCTGTCTTCTGCACCTGCCAAATGGCAGAGTTGAACAGGGATGTGGTGGGAATCACCACTCCTGCATCATTCAAGTCCTTGATGGTGGCACTAATCTCTACAATCCCTCCAGGGATGTAATTTTTTTTTATTTACTATTTTTCTGTGTAGAGGCAGCTCTAATGGCTTCCATTTAGCCTTTCCCACCATAGTAGCCCTCACCCTACTAGTCAGGGAGCCAATGTGGGGGTTCTGCCAGCTGCCAAGTATGTCTATGCCAATTATGCATTATGGCACTGGGGAAATGACCATAGGATGAATCCGTGAACCCACTAGACTCACTGTAAATCAGACCTGAGCTAAAACTTCATTAATTACATAACCTCCACAAACCCCTGTTTTAACTGGGGGACCATAATGACATTTTGGGTCTTCTGGAATCAATGTCTGCTCAGAGCCAGTGTCCAGTAGTCCCTGAAATGTCTAATCATTTCCCTTTGCCCAATGTACAGTTACCTTGGTAAAAGGCCAGAGGTATTCTTAAGGAAGGATAGGAAAATTGTCAGTAATGTAGTGGGGTCCTTCATCAAAGGGATCCAGCCTCCCCTTCATTCAGGGGGTTTGGGGTCTGTAAACTGGCTCAAGTCTGAAAATTGATTTAGGGGCCATGATTCTCTGTGTTTATAATTCAAATTAGTCCTTTCTCCATTCGACCTAGAAGCTTTCTGCTTGTATAAATTAAGTAGGAATGCAGTAAGCTTCCTATCAATTTCATTTCTCGGAACACTGTGATTGATTAGTCAATGTCAGCAGTCCACACGAGTTAAACTATTCTGATTGCTGCTTTGCCTCTGCTGTTCATTACGGTAGCTACGTCCACCTTGCCTTTGATCACTGAGTGTGACCAATTGGCCCCTGCCACCTTGGGATCCAGTTATTCCCATTGTATTTAAATTTTGTAGTCGAGTGACTGTGGTTCCCACTGTTAGATCTGTCATACAGAGAAAAGAGCAATTACAGGGCTCTTCAAAACTTCAGGTGCTGCCTTCACAAATCTATTTCACAAGGCATTGGTTAAAGATATATCTACAAGGCACTGGTCAAGAGTATATCTTCTGGACACTCCCAGCTGGGATGAGTAGGTCTAAAATGACTAATCCATTCCACCATCCCAATCTCCCTAAGCCTTTGCACCCCTTCCTGTACATTAAACCAAGAGATCAGGCATTTGCAGCTTGCTCATTTTGGGCCATCTTTTAATCCATATTTCAGCTAACCAAGCAAATAAACTATTAGAACATTTTTTTTTTTTAGGTGGAGTTTCGCTCTTGTTGCCCAAGCTAGAGTGCAATGGCATGATCTTGGCATGCCACAACCTCCACCTCCCAGGTTCAAGTGATTCTCCTGCCTCAGCCTCCCGAGTAGCTGGGATTACAGGCAAGCATGCACAACCATGCCTGGTTAATTTTGTTTTGTTTTGTTTTTTAGTAGAGACAGGGTTTCTCCATGTTGGTCAGGTTGGTCTTGAACTCCGACCTCAGGTTGGTCTTGAACTCCCGACCTCAGGTGATCCACCTGCCTCAGCCTCCCAAAGTGCTGTGATTATAGGTGTGAGTCACTGTGCCTGGCCTAGAACATTTTTTAACTCCCCTAGCTGCAACATTAAAAGCAGAGTCTCTACTTAGTAGGCCCAAATCAATAAATCCAGCCTGATCCAACTCTGTTCCTTCCACCATTACCCCATACCCTTAATATCCATTCCCATGCCTGTTCTCCAGATTTCTGTTCATATAAAGTAGAGAACTCAAATAGTTCTTTTTGAGTGTACCACACCTCCTCATGGGTCACACTCTCAACCTCACCTCAAGGATCCTACCAGGACGTTAGGCCTAGAAGTAAAGTTTAGATCTAGAAGCAAACAGGGGTGTTGGGGATGGCTCCTGAAGAGAATCAACATTATTTGGCCTGGCAACTGCCTCAGGGGAGGCCATCACTATTGTCTCAGGAAGCACAGGGCTTATCTCCTCAGAGAAATGTGGAAAGGCTGATGGCAGCATGGGTAGGGGAGGGAAAGTTGCCACTACTGGGGATGAGGTAGCTGTTCCTTTTGTCAAAAAAACGTTCATCAGAGTTTACAAGCTCAGTGTCTCCAACTTCATCAGGGTCCTCTCACACATCCCTATTCCAAGCTGCAGGGTCCTATTCTTTTCTAATCAATGCCCTCACTTTAACAGAAGATATCTGGCAAGGCTGTGCATGCCCATTTCATTGCAGGTCAGCCATTCGCATGATAAGACCTTGTATCTGTTTTTCCACACTTTTAGCTCTTTCTCTACAGGAGATAAGTCTCACTCAGGGCAATCTTAGCAGATTTGAGGCTCAGTATCTGCTTCTGAAGCTAAGAGACAGAATGCCTGAGTTCATCATTTTCTTTCATTACTTTGTTCCCTGAACTTTAGGAGCAACCAACCAGCTTCTTTATGTTCCTTGGTTCTCCACATATGGTCAAAGGTGTTATGTATAGAGTCACTCAACTCCTTGCCTCTCATGAGTGGTGAGTCAGGAGTGTCAAATGCACTTATTTTGCATAACTTTCTAAACAGTTTATGCCAAGGACTATTGGCGTTCTCCACACTGTTAGAAGTAGAATCCTTAGCATTTTGAAGTCTAATCATATTAAGCAGCCAACTCCAGAAACCCCAAAACCAACAAAAGAACTCCATTCTTAATATTCTGTTCCTCTAGAACCACTCCTGGTACCAAAACCTCTTTTAGTAAGGGTTCTCTAGAGAGACAAAACTATTATATATATATATATATAAATAAATAGGATATATGTATATAAAATAGGATATATATATATAATAGGATATATATATATATATAATAGGATATATATATATATATATATGGGAAGTTAATTAGATATCGACTTACATGATCACAGGATCTCACAATAGGTTGTCTGCAAGCTTGAGGAGCAAGTAGAGCCAGTCTGAGTCTCAAAACTGAACTCGCAGTGTGAGGTTCGAGGGCAGGAAGTGTCCAGCACAGGAGAAAGGTGTCAGCTGAGAGACTAGGCCAGTCTCTCCTTTTCACGTTTTTCTGCCTGCTTTATATTCTCTGGCAGCTGATTAGATGGTGCCCACCCAATTAAAGTTGGGTCTGCCTTTCCCCATTCACTGACTCAAATGTTAATCTCCTTTAGCAACACCCTCACAGACACACCTAGGGTCAATACTTTGTATCCTTCAATCCAATCAAGTTGACACTTAGTATTAACCATCACAAGCACCCAGGTCACTTCTTGAATGCTTTGCTGCTTAGAAATTTCTTATGCCAAATACCCTAAATCATTCATCTGAAGTTCAAAGTTACACAGATGTCTAGGGCAGGGGCAATATGCCACCAGTGTCTTTGCTAAAGCATAACAAGAGTGAACTTTGCCCCATTTCCCAGTGAGTTTCTTATCTTCATTGCAGACCACCTCAGCCTGGACTTCATTGTCTATATCATTATCAGCATTATGGTCAAAACCATTCAACAAGTCTCTAGGAAGTTTCAAACTTTCCCACATCTTCCTGTCTTCTTCTGATTCCTCCAATCTATTCCAACTTCTGCATGTTACCCAGTTCCAAAGTCACTTCCACATTTGCTGGCATCTTTATAACAGTACCAAACTCTACTGGCACCAATTTACTGTGTTCGTCCATTCTCACACTGCTGTAAAGATACTACCCCAGACTGGAGAAAGAGGGAAAGAGCCCCTTATAAAACCATCAGATCTTGTGGGAACTCACTCACTATCATGAGAACAACATGGGGGAAACCACTCCCATGATGCAATCACCTCCCACCAGGTCTCTCCCAAGACATGTAGGGATTGTGGGGATTATACTTCAAAATGACATTTGAGTGGGAACCCATCCAAACCATATTAGTCACTAATATATTGAAATCAACCATACTACTACCTAGAAAATCTCTATTCCTGGTTAATTTTAACTGTTGGTTTATTTTCCTTCTAGTTGAGTTAGAACATGACAGGAAAAAATTTATAATTTTGTTGACTGGTTTCACATTAAATTTATGACCATAAATCTCAGTGGCTTTTTCTATATTTTTACTACTTTATTGCTACAACTCTTCAAGATGACCATTTCACAGTTCCGGCTCTCCCTCCAGTCATCCAATTTTACCCTATTATCATTTTGCATCCCTTATTTTATTTTATTTTATTTTATTTTATTATTTTATTTTATTTTACTGAAGATCTAGACGCCATGATGAAGTAAATGCCAAATCTTCCACTTTCAATATACAGTCTACCAATCAATCTAAATTTATACTCACATTTTCTGCTTTTATTCTTATTAAAGTAGAATAGCTATTCTTGCTCCTCTCTAAGCAAACCACCAAATTTTACCTGTATAATGGAATCTCATCTCTTCTAATAATAATAATAATAATAACATTGTTTCTAGAATTATCTTTTCTGTTTGCATTAATGCATTTTTCCTTTTCTTGGATCACTTTCAAGAACATACAGACATGTATTACGTATTTTTTTTAACATTTTAAAAACCATTTTGACCTTTTTAACCCCTTCTCTGCTCCTCTTTTCAATAAAATTTCTAAAAATAATTGACATCTTCAACCCACTGAAACAATTCTAGTCAACATCACTAAGAAATTTAAATTTACCAAAATGAATGATTAGTTCAGTCATCAACTCTCCTAACCAGCTAAGTTCTTAATTTGATTTTGCATATGTGCTCATTTTCTCCTATTCTCCTGAAACACTTTTTGAGTTTATCTTCAGGGACACCATTATCTTAGCCTTATTATTAAATTGCCATCCTTCCTTAGTCTCTTTCATTGGCTCCTCTTTCTTTGCTTAAATTCTAAATATTAAGAGTACCACAGGGCTTAGTCAAAGATCTTGTTTTCACTCACATTCACTCTCTAGATCTAATAAAGTCCTGTACTTTTAATATGTCTAAAAATAGATGAGTGCCAAATTTGCATTTCTATTCTAAACATTTCCAATGAGCTTGCAAGCCAGATATGTAAATTCCTGTTTGATGTCTTCACTTGGGTGCCTGATAGGCATCTGAAATTTAACGTGTCCAAAACACTTTCTTATCAAATGCAAACATTTCTGAATTTTACCCA